>NC_000009.12:106856915-107008430 GCF_000001405.40 Homo sapiens | reverse complement strand
GATTCTCAGGACGATGTTAACAGGATGGGGGGCTCTGTGATGCCTTAATCTTCAGCACAAACAGCTATGTGACTGGGGCCAGATTTAACAAAAGATGAAACATTTTCTCACAAATTAAGAAGATCACCACACAAGCCATTAAAAATAATTGCACAGACTATCTTCCTTGATTCTTTTCATTGGAAATGAGACAGCACCATCTGCTCTGCGCATTAATTCCTTAGCAGGGATTATCTTGGGCAAGAAATCAACAGAATGCCTTCCTGACTCCTCCCCAACTGCATAATGAGAGGGGGGTGGGGAGGATTCTGCTTGGGTTAATTTTGATTTCTTCATGCCTGGATTCTTCTCTTTCAAATCTTCCCTGAGCTTCCTAGGCAGGACCTGCAGCGTGTCCATATTCAGTCCGGCACTTGCATTTAGAAAGGAGGTAGGGAGTGGGGTGGCTGCGAGGCTGTGAACCCCCTAAACTGAGGGTGTCTGATAAAAGTCTAAATTGCCAACAAGAGGAATAATGTTCCTGGTACACTTGTTTCTTTACCCTTAATCTGTAAATAGGAAACCAGTCATCTGTCCTTTCCAATGGCACATACTAAGTTCCATCCTCAAAGGAGGAGGCCACTGGGCACTGGCCACACTTCCAAGAGCTCTCCACCAGCCTGAGAGCTGCACGCAAGCCACCTCCTGCCCTCTGCTCCTAGAAGCTGGGATGTCTAGCAGAAACACCCGAGGCTATTGTGTGTATTTCTTTTTCCTGCCAAGAATACACCTAGATGGTGGAAAGTTGATTCTTGGTCTATTCAAAGGAGAGATGGGACAAAGGAGGCTGCTCTTTCAAGGATCGGCGAGGGGGAAGGGAAGGTTTAGGCTTGTAATTCCCATTAATGTGACTGGAAGTTACTCATGTAAATCCCCCACCCTCTGAGAGGAATACGTGCTTCTCCACCCTGAGGGCTTTTTGTTCCCCCATGTGGTAAAGCTCACGAATGTGGACACTATACTTTTTCCAGTGAGAAGAGGAGACCCTGAAGTTCTTTCCAGCCAAACCACTCCAGTGTAATGCCACAGTGCCAAGTAAAAGGGGGCTGCCAAGTAGGGTAAAATAAGGAGGTCTGCCTGGTATACCACACACATCTCAACCACCATGTTTTAAATTCGAGTTTTCTTTCTTTCCTTTTCTTTTTTATAAGGAGTCATAGGGGAGCAGAAGCCTAGAAGGGTATTTTGCCTTTATAATGCTTATAACCTTTGAAATCACACATGCTCAGCTTTAGAGATTAAAAAGCCATAATAATATCCAATGAGAAACAGTTTATTTCCAGAGGAGAAAAGGCAAGGCCACAGAGCGTCATGAAGAAAAAGGAGTCTTTCTGTCAAAAGTATCCTCTCCCAGAAAACTCCGGTAACAGTGCAGAGATGTTAAGAAATCATTGTAAAGAACATACTCATGAAATGGTTTGAAAAAGAAAAAAGAAAGAAGCCATGCTTCTCCGATCACAACCGTTTTCCTTGTAAGAAATGGATTAATACAGCCTCTACTAATAAAAATAATAACTTTATAAGAACAATCAACCTATATGGTAAGGATGTTTTATTTGTCCATGTATTTTTCAGGTTAATACAGGCACAGGGTTTTTGAAAGGGTAGTGTACCTTGGCTGTCATTTCCTGCTGACTGTCTTGGTCAGGGGTTCAAGAGCCAAACTGGGGCCCCCTTCGCAAACCCATAGTCTTTAGCCCTGGCATCATGGTAGGAGGGTGAGTGCAAGTCAGGAAAAGGAACAGGGAACACCTTGGAGGGAAGTAGCCCACCAATAGGCTTCCTTAATGTTTGCAGACAGAACAAGCAGAAAACACAAAGAAATTCTGCAAAACTGCTCCTTACAGCAAGGTCCCAAGGGCCACTGAATCCACAGATTTCAGGGTCAGGTCCCCTTCAGTGAAGATTACACTACTCGAAGCACTGGGAAAGTGGTGTGCAGGGTAAGAAGAGGGCTTGCCTTTGGAGCCAGAAGATGTAAATTTGAATTGAATTTGGTCTCCAGGGTTTATATTTTTTGTTGTTGTTTGTTTGTTTGTTTTGTTTTTTACTTTGAACATGCTCTTAAATTTCCTGGGTCCTTATTTTCCCATTTGTGAAATCACAAAAATAACACCTACATTGCAGGCTTATCATTTATTAGGTGATTGTTATATTCTAGGAACTGGGTGAAGGTCTTCTGTGTTATCTCATTTAATCTTTACAACAACCCATGGAACCACACCCTGGATAGCCAAAGAAATCTTAAACAAACAGAACGAAGTTGGAGGCACCACCCTACCCGACTTCAAAGTTGACTACAAAACTATAGTAATCAAAACAGCATGGTACTGGCATAAAAAACAGATACACAGACCAACAGAACAGAATAGAGAGCCCAGAAATAAATCCACACATTCACAGTCCATCGGTTTTCAACAAAGGTGCCAAGAACACATAATGGGGAAAGGGCAGTCTCTTCAATAAATGGTATTGGAACAGGTGGATATCCACATGCAGAAGAATGAAATTAGATCCTTATCTCACACCAGATACAAAAATCGTCTCAAAATGAATTAAAAACTTGAATATAAGACCTGAAACTATAAAACTACTAGACAAAAACAAAGGGGAAAAGCTCCATGACATTGGTCTGGGCAATGATTTTTTGGATATGACCTCAAAAGCATGGGCAACAAAAGCAAAAACAGATAAACAGAATTACATCAAACTAAACAGCTTCTGCACAGCCAAGGAAACAATCAACACAGTAATAGACAACCTATGGAATGAGTGAAAATATTTGCAAACCATACATCTGATAAGGAATTAATACCCATGCTGTATTAGAAAATCAAGCAACTCAACAGAAAATCATCTATCTGAGTAGACATTTCTCAAAAGAAGACATACAAATGGCCAGCAGGCATATGAAAAAATGTTCAACATCACTAATCATCAGGGAAATGCAAATTAAACCACAATGAGCTATCACTTCACACCTGTTACGAGGCTATTATCAAAAAGAGTGAAGATAACATGCTAGAGAGAATGTGGAGATAAGCGAACTCCTGTTGCATTGTTGGTGGGACTGCAAATTAGTACACCCGTTATGGAAACAGCATGGAGGTTCCTCAATCAGTTAAAAGTAGAACTACCACATTGATCTAGCAATCCCACTCCTAGGTATATCCAAAGGAAATGAAAGCAGGATATTGAAGAAATATCTGCACTCTCACGTTCACTGCAGGGTTATTCATAATAACCAAGATAAGTAATCAAGCTAGGTGTCCATCAATAAATGAATGGATAAAGAAAATGTGGTATATACACACATGAAATACTATTCACCATTAAAAAATATGAAATCCTGTCATTTGTGACAACATAGATAAACTTGTAGAACATTACATTAAGTGAAATGAGACAGGCACACAGAGGCAGGCACAAATACTGCATGATCTCACTTATGTGGGGAAACTAGAAAAGTCAAAGTCATACAAGCAGATAGTAGAATGGTGGTTACCAGGGGCTCGGGGTTTGGGGAGATATTGTTCAAAGGATACAAAATTTCAGTCAGATAGGAAAAATAAGCTCAAGAGATCTATTGTACAACACAGTGGCTACAGTTAATAACAACATATTGTATACCTGACAATTGCTAAGAGAGTAGATTTTAAGTGTTCTCACCATAAAAAATGACAAGTATGTGAGGTAATGCATATGTTAATTAGCTTGATTTAATTTTCCACAATGTATATGTATTTTGAAACATGTTGTACATCATAAATATATACAATTTTTATTAAAATAATTTAAAAAAGTAAATTTAAAAAGTCCAAAATCTGAAGTTTTAAAGTTAAAAAAAATCTTTACAACAATCTTAGGAGGGAGGTGATATTATTCTCATTATTACGATTGTGATTATTTCACAGATGATGAATGTACAAGGAAATACAATAATTTACCCCAAGCCATCTAGACAGTAAGTAGCAGAACTGGAAACCAAATTCAAGCAGGCTAAATGTACAGTCCTCTCTAGTCATGAGATTAAAGAAAAATGTTATATAAAAACGACCAGCACTGAGGCTAGCACATAATGATGCTCAGTAATGGCAACTAGTACTATTCTCATCTCTGGGTCAATATCTGCAATGTTGATTTCTGATGTTTATGTTATCCACGTGCTTCTGATAAATCTGCAATAACTAAAGTAACATATCTCAACCTATATTCTTGTATGTATAGTCTGGGGTTTTTCACAATATTCTACGTTGAACAATATAGAAAACCAACTCTGAATCACATAAATGTATATCCACAACTAAATATACTTTTGAAAACTTTTTCATTTTGAAATAATTATAGACTCACAGGAAGTTAGAAAAATAGTACCAAAGTCCCACAAAACCTTCCCCAGTGTATTCTGTAAATACATAGTTGAATGAAAGAGGTGGTCTCTCTTTCTCTCTCCTTACAAAGCAAGTCAGAGCACAAAGGGGGTTAAGAAAAGGGCCACGCAGAGGGACATCAGGGGGTAGGGGCTCAAGTTCTTTGCACCACCGTCCCCTACAGTTCCAGCAGTGTGTGCCCCAGCAGCAATTTTAAATATGCATTCAACTGGAAGTTCATTCTCATTCCTCTAGAGCTCTACAGTGTCATCCATCTTGCTGTCTGCTTGTCCTTATTCTGAAGATTCCCTAGATACCAGTTTTCCTTATTAAAAACAAATCACTGCCATCTATTTTTCAACAAACATATATCTATAATTAGGGAGAAAATGTCTGTTTTCCTTGGCGTTTCTATAGCTGGTAATAGTTTACAAAGACACAGCTCTTGATGTGTTTTCTAAGTCAGTCTGTTCTGCTACTTAACTAAGAAGGATCATTCCTTCTGTTACTCCTACAACAACCTCCTGCCTCCCTTCTGTCTCACTACGGACATGCCAGATGCCATCTGGGATTGGGAGGGCAGGATGAGACTAACCTCTGTCTTCAGCCTTGCTGTTCATTTCTTCTTCCTTGTCCTCATCATCGCTGCTGGAGCTCTCCATTTTCTCCTTCATCTGTTCCAGCTGATCCAAGTTAACCCGTCCAACCAGCTCAAAGTTACGGCTTACCTGAAAAAGGCCCAAACAAATGATGGAATAATAAACCGCAGACCAAATGGGGTTCTCCCTGATGGAGAGATCTTTCTAACATCATTTTCCTGTGACTGTGGTTTTGCAACCAGGACCAAACAACTCCGGGGCCTAAGAGGTCTTTTTCTTCGTTTTGACTCTTTTGGAGATGGAGCAGCCCTTTGCTCCCACATTCCATCATTTTCACCGGAACTTTTGTACACCGGACCTTCATTACCAAACTTGTGAAGAAACATGAGCTATAGTACGCAGGAGACCAAAAGTAAAATGAAGGCTAGAGTATAGAGTAAATATCCAAAACACATTTTTTTTGTAGTTGAATTCAAAGGTGTAACTCTTATAACAACCCAAGTTTCAAATACTTCTGCAGGTGAAGAAGTTCTGCAAGCATGCCGACCACTAGCAGTGAGACACAATACAACCTTCTTTGCCACGATCCCATCAACCAGGGTGTTGCAGGCTGTCCCGGCTTAGGCCAGATGACAGCCATCTGATCCTTAACTCTAGTTTAAATGGAAGATAATATTATTACTGTTAGTGTTACTACTGTTTTTGAAGCTGACCACAGCCTATGTATCAAGGCTGGGATTATCTGAGAAAAACCTAGATGACTAACCCCTAAAAGCTCTTTAAAAGTGTTAACTATGGCTGGTTTTTATTCATGTAAAATGTGGTCAGAATAATGTGGGAATCCAAGCTTTCTTCAAAGTATCATTGGAGGGGAACAAAAATCTACACTAAGAAAAGTCTTTAATGATTTTTCCATTTTGGGTTCTCAGATCAATGGCAGCACAAAATTTACCTTCATCATGAATCGATTTTCAGAACCTCTCCAGTTGCATGCATAGAATGTTCAGGCATGACAAGCTGGTGCAGGGCTAAAGTCAAAAAATTGCCATGGGCTACGCCTTCTATGTAAGGTGTTATGCTCCCCTTGTTGGAGGCCTGGGGAGGGGACATACAAGATGAATGAGACCTGGTTCTGGCCTCCAGAGGCTCACAGTTGAGTTGAAGAGGGAAGACAGACATCATTAATTAGATTCCGAGGCCGACTTCCCTAGCTGCCACAGTAGGGCACAGCTAGATGATGAGGACACAGCTAGATGATGAGGACACAGGAGAGGAAAGAGATAATTTACAAGACAATTCCAAAATAGTCTTTGGGACCAGACTGGAACAAAGATTTGCTGAATGCCACCAATTCCATGTGCCTGGCAGATGGGAACATCATTATCGACTGTGACAAATGTAAAGAGCCTCAGCGTACCAGGCCTTAGACACTGAGACTGAATAATGTCCCAACAACATCCTGTAAGAGATAGGTAGCATTCAGGAGGAGAAGAACTCAGGGAAAAACCTCTTTTAAAACAGGAGAAACAATACACTGATCTATCTATAACAATGAAATCCATGAAATTAGTTAACTTTGAAAACAACTCAACATGGGGGTGGACAAGACGCAGACAACAATGCCAACGCTTAACAAGCAGGGAAGGCAACTTCTTGTTTTTCTCAATTAAAAAAGCTATAAAAATTAAGGGACTAAGGCAAGAGGAGAAAGAGGTCAATTATGAATCCTGATTTCTCTTTCTTCCCCTCTAAGTCCACAGTAACGGTTTCCAAAGGACTTTTGCTTGTAGCACCTTACTAACTAGGGCTTTTACATTTTCATTGATTTCCTTTTATGACATAAGAGCAAAAAGGGATAGCATAAGAAAATGCTCTTTGAAGTCAGACAGACCCGAGTTCAAGTTTAGGATTTGCCATTAACCACTAGATTCTGGATAAATCACTCAGTATATGTCCTTGATATCTTCATTTGTAAAAGGAGGTCAGCATAGTGCTTGAGACACAACAGTCCCCCAAAATGTAATTTCCTTCCCCTTTCTGGGAATGTGAGCCTTTTCTAGTTTTGGCTCTTGGGAATGCTTACAACAAGCATTGTAAATGCATATTTACGAAGTTATGTTTAGCCACAAAGTCTACATTTTAGCCAAATAGCATTCATGATAAATATTTGAATAAAAAGTTTTCTGGCTTGCTAGTTTTTCAGGAAAAGTGGGCAAGGTTCCAATTTGCCTAATTTTTAAACATATTTGAAGAGAAGTATTTTTAAGTGACTAGCACATAAAAGGCAGCCTTTCCTGGGCCACTTTCTCCTGCACTTCTCACCATTAGGAATCAGGGAAACTATAAATACGTGTAAAGGACATGAGGGGTGGGCTGTCACCAGGAAACAAAAACAATGAAACCAAGGAGACCAAAGAAGAATCCTCAAACATCTGCTTTAATCCAGTTGTTTTAATTCATTCATTCATTCATTCATCAAGGATTCCTGGAGGGCTGGCTTGCTGTGTGCCAGCCTCTGGGGTCCACACTGGAACCCCTGCTTCTTTTGGAGCTCTTGGTGACAGAAGGAGATCTGTCACCAAACCAAATGTTATTTTTTTCCCCCTCATTCTGGGTTTTTTTGAAGACTGTATTTGTCCATTTTCCCAGCACCATCATCCCTTCACTGGAAAACTGTTAACATTTTAAATTCTGCATGATTTTAAAATAGTACATGACATTTTCACAGTATGATGTTCATCCCAGGCTAACCCAGGATTTATTTGGTCCTGAAGATTTCTAAAATCTTTGCTAGGCAATTAAAAGATTTAAAAATGAGAACTAAAATTTTTGCTATGTAATTAGAAGATTTTAAAATAAAAACTCTTTATTGTTTTGGGTTATGACGGTATTTGAAATCCCCAAGCCATCTATCCAAATATTAATCCTAACACAAAAGGAAGACTCTTTTCCACATTCCTGAGCCCATTATCATCTTTTACCTGGATTACTGCCAGCCCCTTCCCCTCCCATGTTGGTCTCCTAGCACCTACTCTTGTCCCTTCTTGTACCTGATTCTTTAGTGTGGTCAAAGCAATCTTTAACAAAATGTAAGTCTCTTCATGTCAGTCTCTGCTTGCCCTGAGGATGAAATACAAATTTCTTAACTGTCGTTTACATGGCGGGCTCTCATGTTATTCTGGCCCATCTTCTCTAGGCTCCCCCTTGCTCCCACCACCCTGAACTTACTGAGGTCCTGGAATATGTCAGGCCCTCGAGGAGTCTATGCCTCCACCATCTCACCTGTCTGACACTCTCTCATGCCTGCCGGCTTCATGTGTTGAGTCCTTAATCTCCTAGCCCTGCTTCTGTCACTTCTTCTGGGAGACCTTCCCTAAACTCCTCCTGTGTTCGATATCCTTGTTCCATGTGTTCACAGCATTCTGCACCCCGCCTTCAAGAGCTCACCCCATTCAGTAATGAATTGTTTATGGCCTGCCCCTCCCCAGTCCAACTACAAACTATGAGGACAGACTTGCTGTGAGTCTTACTTACAGCTGAACCCCCACTGGCCAGCACAGTGTCTAGATTAAGAGAGGGTGTTATTCTCGCCTCCTGGCTACTGGATATCTTCATTTTCATTTAAAATAGTTTCTTTTATATAAACATTCACAAAAAATTTATGAAAATAAGAAAAACTCATTTAAAGTCCAACTACCTATACATAATAACTGTTAATGAATTAATGTATTTCTGTATTCCTGTTCTCTATCTGTAGATTATTTACATTGCTGTTATCATTTTAAAACAAACAAGTGTATATCCAACTTCTTCATGCCTGGCATAGTGTACACATCATTCTCTGAATAAACATAATTTTTAATCACTACATAGCATTTCATCAAGTAGGCATATGATAGTTTACTTGACTATTCATTCCCGTATGAATTTACGGTAGATGATTTCTGGCTTTCCACTATTAAACATGTTTGTCACAAAAAGTAATAAACCTTATTGTATTTAAGCCTTTCTTTCATGCTTAGTTTTAATTTTATAGGCTAAATTTCCAGATGTGAAATTACAGGGTCAAAGTCAAAGGGTATAGACTTTATAAAAGTTCCCATATATTTTGAACTGATTACACTACTTTTTGGGCCCGGAGATTGGTGGGTATTTGAATAACTCCTTGATGATGCAGATGACATATTGAGAGAAACACACTTGTTTCCTCTAAAGATGAGAAGCAGTTTATTATCATTTCCCCAAAGGCCCACAACAAAGGGAGAAGGAGCAAGCTTAAGAGTTTGAGATTTAGAACCCAGCTCCTTCCAGGCTCTTTCTGCAGGCAAAAGAAGCCGTATATGTTCTTGAAGGGTGGATTGTTCAGATACATAATAATTCAGACTAGAAACCTATATGCAGATCTTTATTCCTGTGAAAGCTATCTGTGAATGCCCATTCACTCAAGGTCCCCTGTGAAGGCCACTAACCCAGAGTTTGGTGAAGTCATCTGTCTAATGAGAATGTGAGATGAGGGCTGGGTGCGGTGACTCACGCCTGTAATCCCAGCACTTTGGGAGGCTGAGATGAGTCGATCACTTGAGGTCAGGAGTTTGAGACCAGCCTGGCCAACATGGTGAAACCCCGTCTCTACTAAAAATACAAAAATTAGCCAGGTGTGGTGGGCGGGTACCTGTAATCCCAGCTACTTGGGAGGCTGAGGCAGGAGAATTGCTTAAACCTGGGAAGTGGAGGTTGCAGTGAGCCAAGATCATGCCACTGCACTCCAGCCTGGGTGACAGAGCAAGACTCCATCTCAAAAAATAAATAAATAAATAAAAATAAAAGTGAGATGAGGTGTCAAATGTTTTATCCTTTAACAATGAAGTGAGGACACTGCAAAACCACTTCCACACTTGTCTATTTGTTGGCTTTTAACTATTCAGCAAAATGGTTTAGATCTGGTCTTAGCATGTATTTCCATACTTCTGGCATATTCTAAGGTGATAATAATTATATGTGATTTACAAATATTATCAAGTTGAATATGCATTTTCATATTGTACTAGGATAGCAAACCCAGTCTGATAGAAGACTGATATGAATGTGCTTGCTAATGATAGAATGGAACTGGAACCCTTGTCTTCAGATTACATTGCAGGCATCAAATAGGACAGACTGAGATTGAGAAAGTCCACTTAATGTTTCCAGAATTTTTAACTCTAAGGTTGCCCCTCTTACTTAACATTTGTAGCTTCAAAAAGAGGCACCCAACCAGGATGCTCATATTACCTAATACTGCATGTTGATGTTAAAAAGAATGTGCAGCGCTGTGAAGATTTTGAATGACTTATAACACAGGCTGGTAAACTTTTTGTGTAAAGGGCCAGATAAGTAAATATTTTTAGGCTTTCTGGACTCTATAGTCTTTGTTACAACTATTCAACTGCTGTTGTAGCTCAGAAGCAACCCATAAACAATAAGTCAATGGATGACCATGGCTGTATTCCAATAAAGCTTTATTTAGGGAAAGTGAAATCTGAATTTCATATTTCACATTACAATTTTTTTGATACTTTTTCAATCACTAAAACATGTCAAGACCATCCTTAGAGAGTGGACCATATAAAAAAGGAGGTGGACTAGATTTGGTCCATGCATCATAGTTTGCCAACCCCTAACGTACCAAGTGGTCTACTCAACAGACAGATCTTCTTTGCCTGTCCTTAAAAATCAGAATGGGAATGAGGGAAAGAAAACAGTGGGACAAAGATTCAGCAAAGTATTGTCTCTACGATTTCTTACAGCAAGATGGTCAAAAGTGCAGGTAAAAAAATCTTGAATTCTCAGATAAGAGCACCTCAATTAGAGTTCTTGTAAAAGCTTCAAGGAAGGATATTCAAAGTTTGTCCATACAGTCCCAAATGGTAGAATGTCTGTTTTCCATGGCTGAATAATATTCCATTGTGTGTTTATGTACCACTTTTTAAAAAATTCATCCATCAATGGATAGTTAGGCTGCTTCCATGTCTTGGCTATTCTATTGTGAATACTGTTGCAGGGAACATGGGAGTGCAGTAGCTCTTTGAGACACTGATTTTGTTTCCTTTAGTTAAATATCCAGAAGTGGGATTGCTGTATCATATGGTAGTTCTATCTTTAATTTTCTGAGGAGCTTTCGTGCTGTTTTCTCTAATGGCTCTCCCAATTTACATTCCTATCAACAGTGCACAAGGGTTCCCCTTTTCTTCACATATATCAAACCATCACATTGTACACCTTACATATGTACAATTTCATTTATCAATTATACCTCAATAAAGCTGGGGGGGGAAAGAAAGAAAAGATATTCAGCCAAACAAACCAGTTAGGCAGTATTGAAGTTCTATGGAACCTGAGCCATGAAACTATATTTGTTGTGCACTGTGCTCCTCTCCAATTTTAAAACTACCTCTTATCAAGCAAGTAACATGCTGAATTGTGCTTCTTTGTTTAAACTTGTCTCACCTAGTTGCTTATAAACTCTTCCAGGGTAGCAACCATTTCTTACTTAGCTTTATAGGCTCAGTGCAGAGTCATACACTTGACACACAATAAATGCTATTTGAATTTACCAGTAACATGAAAACCCATGAGAGATCATAAGGTATAAAGACTTCATAATATTGCCATAAGATCAACCTATAGAACAGGAGAAAATTTTTACAATCTACCCATCTGACAAAGGGTTAATATCCAGAATCTACAAAGAACTTAAACAAATTTACAAGAAAAAAATCAAACAACCCCATCAAAAAGTGGGCAAAGGATATGAACAGACACTTCTCAAAAGAAGACATTTATGCAGCCAACAGACACATGAAAAAATGCTCATCATCACTGGCCATCAGAGAAATGCAAATCAAAACCACAATGAGATACCATCTCACACCAGTTAGAATGGCGATCATTAAAAAGTCAGGAAACAACAGGTGCTGGAGAGGTTGTGGAGAAATAGGAACACTTTTACACTGTTGGTGGGACTGTAAACTACTTCAACCATTGTGGAAGACTGTGGTGATTCCTCAAGGATCTAGAACTAGAAGTACCATTTGACCCACCCATCCCATTACTGGGTATATACCCAAAGGATTACAAATCATGCTGCTATAAAGACACATGCACACGTATGTTTATTGTGGCACTATTCACAACAGCAAAGACTTGGAACCAACCCAAATGTCCATCAATAATAGACTGGATTAAGAAAATGTGGCACATATACACCATGGAATACTATGCAGCCATAAAAAAGGATGAGTTCATGTCCTTTGTAGGGACATGGATGAAGCTGGAAACCATCATTCTGAGCAAACTATCACAAGGACAGAAAACCAAACACTGCATGTTCTCACTCATAGGTGGGAATTGAACAATGAGACCACTTGGACACAGGGTGGGGAACATCACACACTGGGGCCTGTCATGGGGTGGGGGTAGAGGGAAGGGATAGCATTAGGAGATATACCTAATGTAAATGACGAGTTAATGGGTGCAGCACACCAACATGGCACATGCATACCTATGTGACAAACCTGCACGTTGTGCACATGTACCCTAGAACTTAAAGTATAATAATAATAAAAAAATTGCCATAAGATTTGCATCCCATGAAATAAAGTTGCTTGTTAATGAGAGAATAAAAGTAGGCACTTTCTAAATGATTTTGTTTCAATACTTACCAAGTAACTATTAAGTGCTAAAAATGCCCCCAGTAGTTTTTACATGTATCACTTATCCCTTACGACCATTGTGCAGTAAATGTGTTGCCTTCTATATTTGTAGATGAAGATCACAAAACAGGTAGGTGATGAAGCCAGGATTAGTTAGGACTCAGATCTCCACATGACACAGCTCAAGCTTTTCCCATTATAATGCAAATCATCTGCAGAAATGCAAAATTACTCACAAAATATGTCAAAACTACCATGGCTATACTGGCTGAACACAGGAATGAGAAAGAAAAAGTATTAACAATAACGTTATGTTGCAAAATGTGATGGGATAGAACAGTAGCATCCTTTCCGAATTTTTTTCAAAATAAAAGCCTAAGAATATTAAAAACAAAGAATCATAGAGTACCCAGAAGGATATAGAGCACAGAAGTCAAGGAAGGTATCTACTTTCTTTTGCAATCACTGTGTCACAATCAGAAAACATATTTCCATCATACCTAACTTAGCAAAAGTCCAGACAAAATCACTTATTTGGAGACACTCAGCATAACTTCAGACACAAGTACTCAAGGAAGCTAGGTGAAAGACATAATTAAGAAAGGCTCAGAGCTTTGTGGCTGGCCAGTTAAGCAGCTGTCAATCTCCTGGACCCAAAATACAGAGGGAAAAGATGCTAATGGATGCTACCACATTTTGCTTATTTGAACAGGATACTTAAAATTTCATATTTGAAAAGTTGATTTCATTTATTGATTTATTTAACAAACAATTCCTGAGGCTTTACTGTATGCTGGGCACTAGGTTAGATTTTGAAAGAAAGGTGAGATAAATAAATCTGCCTTAAGAAAGGAAAGAGAAAAGTTCTATGGAAGCTTTGAATCTGGGACAAAGAATTTTGACTGGGGAGTTTAGTGGATGGTTTCGAAGGCACAGGTAAAGAACATCTTCAAATGTCTATTTGAGAAATACTGTTTAAGGTTTTGCCAGACACACCCCTCTGAAAAACGGTCACACCTCTTGCTCATCTAATTCTGGTTTCTCTGTCTTCTACAACACACGGAAGAGACAGAGCTATAGTTAACAAACCAAGAAGCAGAACTGCATGAGGGAAAGCAGAAACGAAATGGCATAGTCTTCTAGAGAAGCCTTCAGCTTGCAGAAATCATTGCTGTTGATAAAGCTAAAGCTGCTAGCATTTAGTTCAGAAATAAAAAGCAATCCAAAAAAAAATGTGGCCAAAGGTGTGTTTTATGATTTGGGAAAAATTCTTCTTATGATTTATTTGGGAAGAATCTTTGGAGAAAGATTCTTCGTTTATTTCTCATTTCCTTTTCTGGAAACAAATGTCCTAAGTGACTTTTTTGGCCACTGTGGATTTCACTAGTCCAAAAAACTCAGCAATTTTATTAGAATAACTAAAAAGTTGATGATTCCTTCTGAGCTTAATGTTTTGCTGTTTTCCCCAAACTGGCAAAAAGTAAGATATGAGTTTCTTAAGAGTTCAACTGCTTAAGGCTCCATTTATATAAAAAATTAAAAACATTTCAAAGTAAATTCAATTAGTGAATGTGTATTGCCTGAATAGACTATCCTTCTAAATTTAATATACTGAACATGACAATTTTACGAGCGGACCAAGTTAGAGATAATATATTTTTATGTTCCTTAAACTAGCAAAGAGAGTTCAGAACCATAAAGAACACTAACAAGGTATTGCATATAAACTTTCTTTTAAAAACAGTGTGTGTATTTTTTAAATGTGAGAAGTGCAAGGTTTGTTTTTCTTCATGACTTTAAGGTTCCTAAAGATGTTGTCTTAGGCTGGGCACAGTGGCTCACACCTGCAATTCCTGTACTTTGGGAAGCCAAGGTGGGAGGATTGCTTGAGCCTAGGAGTTTGAAGATGCAGTGAGCTATGATTGCGCCATTGCACCTCAGCCTGGGCAACAGAGCAAGACCCTGACTCAAAAAAGAAAAAATGTTGTCTTCATCTTTCAACAGTATTGCTAATAAAGGGCATTACTGATAAATAATTCACTATGTGTGTTGGGGGGTAGAATGTTGGGGGACAGAGAATGCAGGGAGTGAAGGAAGGGAGAGGGAAGTAAAGGGGAGGGGGAGAGGAGGGAGAGACTACACTAGTCAACCTTCTAGAGGACCCACTGAGATTAAAAACAGACAGGGAGTCACAGGATAAAAAAATAAAATTTCAAATAACCTGCACTGTTTCCTTTAGATCCTAAGAGATTACAAGTGATGCCTCGCTCACTAGTAACAAAGATAAAGATCTAGGAGGAAAGATTGTGTTTATCACCTATAAAATGAGGGTTCTGATGGTTATCCCTTTTGCACTCTGGCTTCTGAGGATAAACATGCAGCCTAAATCGACTGCACTGGAGATTTTGGTTCTTAAAAGGAATGGTATATTTGACTTTAAGGACCTTTCTTGCTGGTACCAGGATTCTGTCCAGTCCGTGGATGATATAGTCTGACATCTTTACAGATGTTCCTGAGGTTTATAACCTTTGCAGGCAGAATTCAGAAGTCCAGTTTTGAATGTTCAGTTCTTTTTAATGAAATCCTTTAACTGAAAATACATTCTACGTGTCTTATAGTTTATTCTGTAGATTCTCCCCACCACACAAATCACCTAATGCTATTTGTAGAAGAATATAATGAGCAATGCACTGTTTTACTGGGAAAAAAAGTGAATCCCTGTTTGGAACCAATTGCTAAGTCTATTCCACATTAATCCGGATCTTGAGTATCTTGTTGATATAACTGTTCTCAGGATGAACGTCATAAAAAGACTACAGGAAATTAACATTTATTGAAGACCTACTGTGTGTTGGGTTATGGGAAACTTGCATCTGTTTTAGGTATTGAGGTATAATTTACCTACCATAAAATTTATCTATTATAAGTAAACAACTCAATGATGTTTAAGAACACTCTCATCACTCTGAGAAGCTCCTTCATATCCTTTGTAATCAATCCCTGCTCCCATCTTCCAGGCCCAAGTAACCTCTTAGCTGCTTCCTGTCTCTATCATGTTGCCTTTTCTAGAAATTTCATATAAACAGAATCATAAAATACGTAGTCTCTTGTGTCTAGCTTCTGTCCACGTAACATTTTTTGGATTCCTCAATGCTGTTAAATGTATCAATAGCTCATTCTTTTTCATCGCTGAATAGTACTCCATTGCATGGATACGCCGTATTTTATTTATCCATCCATTTTATGTGAAGGTAGGATAGGTCAGATGGCAAGTGTACGTTTAACTTATAAACAAATGCCAAACTGCTCCGAAGTGGCTATGGTATTTTACATTCCAATCAGCAATGTATGAGATTCCAGTTTGTCTACATACTTGCCAACACTTTGATACTATCAGCCTTCTTAATTTTAGCCATGCTAGCTAGTGGTTGGGGAGTAAAATCTTATTATTGTCTTAATTTATATTTCCCAAGTGGTGAATCAAGCTGAACATTTTTTCATGTGCTTATTTGCCATTTGTATATCTTCTTTGGTAAGGTGTCTATTCAAATCTTGTGCTCATTTTTAACTGAATTGCTTATCTTCTTATTGTTGAGTTGTAAGATTTCTTTAAATATTTTGGTTAAAGCCCTTTGTTAGATAATTACTTTGCAAATATTTGCTTCTAGTCTGTTGCTTGCCTTTTCATTTTCTTAATGGTGTCTTCTTTTTTCTTTTAGTTGTCCATAACTTTTGCATCATATATAAAAATTTTTTTCCCTAACCCAAGATGATATAATCTTCTATTATTCTTCTGAAAGTTTTATAGTTTTAGCTCACACATTTAAGCTTACGGTCCATTTTGATTGTTGTGTGTGTGTGTGTGTGTGTGTGTGTGTGTGTGTGTGTGTGTAGAGAGTGCTGTAAAGGTCAAGGGTCATAATCTGCATACACAAATCTAATTGTTTCAGCACCATTTAAAAAAAAAATCATCCTTTCCCTATTACCTTAACACCTTTTATGAAAATCAACTGACCACATATATGAGGGTTTATTTCTTGACTTTTGCTTCTGCACTACTGATCTATGCATCTATCTTACGTCAATTTACAGTGAGTTTTGAAATCAAGATGGGTGAATCCTCTGATTTTGTTGTTTCTCCACACTAGGATATTCTATAGGTCATTTGCATTTCCATATAAATTTTAGGGCCAGTTTGTCACTTTCTACCCCCAAAAAGCCTACTGGGATTTTGATAGAGATTATGTTGAATCTGTACATGATTATGAAAAGAATTACCAATATTGGGTCTCCTAATTAATAAACATGGTATATATTGCATTAATTTAGTTTTATAAATTTCTCTCAGCAACACTGTAGTTTTCAGTGTATAGTTCTCATGTTAAATGTATTCTTAAGACTTTTATTCTTTTTGATGTTATTGTACATGAAACTGATCTTCTTAAAATTTCATTTTCCAGTTGTCCATTACTAGTATACAGAAACATAACTGATTTTTGTATATTGATTTTATATCTTGCAATCTTGCTAAGCTCATTCATGTTCTAGTAGCTTTTTTTTGTAGATTCTGCGGATTTTCTCCCTATAAAAATCAAATTGTCTATAAATAAAAAGTTGTGTTTCTTCCTTTCCAATTCTCATGCCTTTAATTTCTTGTTTTAGCATTATGGTCCTTGACTTTTATATTTGAATTTTCAGCATAATTCTGTTCAGTACATTGTACACTGATACCCCTATTCCTCTCTCATGAACCCTGAAATCAGGTGTTTGTATATCTTTCCCCCTAACAAATGACCATTTTTAGCCAGCACATAATTCCACTGGCTGTCAGCCAAAAATTCAGTTTCAATAGCACTGCCATCTTTACTTACAAAAGTCTTTGGAGAATTATTTCAAAAATTCAAATTGCATTTTGTACTCATCATGTAGGGAAAAAAGATTAGAAAATGAGAAAAAAAGTACTGCTATCTCAGTAATAAGCATGAGTCTCATAAACCTAACAATTGAGACAAACATGAGAATCATTAGGCATGCAGGAAGTCGCAATTCTTTAGCTTCAATTAGGTGCTCACTGGACTTAATAAGCTGGTCAACCATGAGGAAGAGAAAAAAATTAAAGAACATAATATGGCATAGTGAAAATATTACGTTAAAGACTGTGTCTAAACTAAGAAATGAGACAGACAGCAATACAATAATAGTGGGGGACTTCAATACTCCACTAACAGCACTAGACAGGTCATCAAGACAGAAAGTCAACAAAAGAACAATGGATTTAAACTATACCTTGGAAAAAATGGGCTTAACAGATACATACAGAACATTCCATCCAACAACCACAGAATACACATTCTATTCAACAGTGCAGGGAACTTTCTCCAAGGTAGACTATGACGAGCCATAGAATGAGCCTCAATAAATTAAGAAAATTGAAATTGTATCAAGCAGTCTCTCAGACCAGAGTGGAATAAAACCGGAAATCAACTCTAAAAAGGAATCTTCAAAACTATGCAAATACATGGAAATTAAATAACTGGCTCCTGAATGAGCATTGGGTCAAAAATGATATCAAGATGAAAATTTAAAAATTCTTTGAACCAAACGACAATAATGACATCACCTATCAAAACCTCTGGGATACAGCAAAGGCAGTGTTAAGGGAAATCACCAAGATCAGAGCAGAACTAAATGAAATTGAAACAAACAAACAAAAAACAATACAAAAGATAAATAAAACAAGAGTGGTTCTTTGAAAAGATAAATAAAATTGATAGACCATTAGCAAGATTAACCAAGAAAAGAAGAGAGAAAATCCAAATAACCTCATTAAGAAATGAAATGGCAGATATTACAACTGACACCACAGAAATACAAAAGATCATTCAAGGCTACTATGAACACCTTTACGCACATAAACTAGAAAACCTGGCAGAGATGGATAAATTCCTGGAAAAATACAACCCTCGTAGCCTAAATCAGGAAGAATTAGATACCCTGAACAGACCAATGACAAGTAGCGAGATTGAAATGGTAATTTAAAAATTACCAACAAAAAAAGTCCAGGACCAGATGTATTCACAGCAGAATTCTACCAGAATTGGTACTCAAAGGATTGGTAGCATTACTTTTGACACTATCCCACAAGATAGAGAAAGAGGGAACCCTCCCTAATTCATTCTGGGAAGCCAGCATCACCCTAATACCAAAACCAGCAAAGGACATAACCAAAAAAGAAAACTACAGACTGATACCCCTCATGAACACAGACACTAAAATCCTTAACAAAATACTAGCTAACCAAACTCAACAACATATCAAAAAGATAATCCACCATGATCAAGTGGGTTTCATACCAGGGATGCAGGGATAGTTTAACGTACACGAGTCAATAAATGTGATACACCACATAAACAGAATTTGAAACAGAAATCGCATGCTCATCTCAATAGATGCAGAAAAAGCATTGGACAATATCCAGGATTGCTTTAAGATTAAAACTCCCAGCAAAATTGGCATACAAAGGACATACCTTAATGTAATAAAAGCCACCTATGACAAACCCACAGCCAACGTAATACTGAATGGGGAAAAGTTGAAAGCTGTCCCTCTGAGAACTGGAACAAGACAAGGATGCCCACTCTCACCACTCCTCTTCAACATAGTACTGGAAGTCCTTGCCAAAACAATCAGAGAAGAGAAAGAAATAAAGGTTATCCAAAACTGGCAAAGAGGGAGTCAAACCATCATTGTTTGCTGATGATATGATCATTTACTTCAAAAACCCTAAGGACTCCTCCAGAAATCTCCTAGAACCGATAAAGGAATTCAGCAAAGTTTCCAGATACAAGATTAATGTACACAGATCAGTAGCTCTTCCATACATCAACAGCGACCAGTGGAGAATCAAATCAAGAACCCAACCCCTTTTAAAATAGCCGCAAAAAAATAAAGTACTTAGGAATATACCTAACAAAGGAGGCAAAAGACCTCTACAAGGAAAACTACAAAACACTGCTGAAAGAAATCGTAGACGACACAAACAAATGGAAACACATCCCATGCTCATGGATGGGAAGAATCAACATTGTGAAAATGACCATACTGCCAAAAGCAATCTACAAATTTAATGCAATCTGCATCAAAATACCACCATCATGCTTCACAGAATTAGAAAGAACAATTCTAAAGTTCAAATGGAACCAAAAAAGAGCCCAGATAGCTAAAGCAAGACTAAGCAAAAATAATAACTCTGAGGACATCACTGATATGGTTCAGCTCTGTGTCCCCACCCAAATCTCATCTTGAATTGTACTCCCATAATTCCCATGTACTGTGGGAGGGGTCTGGTGGGAGATAATTGAATCACGTGGGCAGTTTCCCCCATACTGTTCTTGTGGTAGTGAATGTCTCATGAGATCTAATGGTTTACCAGGGGTTTCCGCTTTTGTGTCTTCCTCCTTCTCTTTTTGCCTGTTGCCATCCATGTAAAACAGGACTTTCTCCTCCTTGCCTTCTGCCATGATTGTGAGGCTTCCCCAGCCACCTGGAACTATAAGTCCAATTAAACCTCTTGCTTTTGTAAATTGCCCAGTCTCAGGTACGTCTTTATCAGTAGTGTGAAAACAGACTACTACAATCACACTATCTGATTTCAAACTGTACTATGCTGTTCCTCACCAAAACAGCATAGTACTGGTATAAAAATAGGCATATATACCAATGGAACAGAATAGAGAACCCAGAAATATACCCAAATACTTATAGCCAATTGATCTTTGGCAAAGCAAACAAAACATGAAGTGGGGAAAGGACACCCTTTTCAACAAATGGTGCTGGGATAATTGGCTAGCCACATGTAGGAGAATGAAACTGGATCCTCATCTCTCACTTTATACAAAAATCAACTCAAGATGGATTAAGGACTTAAATCTAAGAGGAGAAACTATAAAAATTCTAGAAGATAACATTGGAAAAACCCTTCTAGACACTGGCTTAGGCAAGGACTTCATGACCAAGAACCCAAAACCAAATGCAATAAATACAAAGATAAATAGTTGGGACTTACTTAAACTAAAGAGCTTTTGCATGGCAGAAAGAATAGTTAGCAGAGTAAACAGACAACCCACAGAGTGGGAGAAAATCTTCACAATCTATACAACTGACAAAGGACTAATATCAGAATCTACAATGAAATCAAACAAATCAGTAAGAAAAAAACAATCTCATGAAAAAGTGGGCTAAGGACATGAATAGACAGTTCTCAAAAGAAGAGATACAGATGGCCAACAGACATATGGAAAAATGCTCAGCATCACTAATGATCAGGGAAATGCAAATCGAAACCACAATGCAATACCACCTTACTTCTGCAAAAATGGACATAATAAAAAAAATTTAAAAAATCCAGTAGATACTGGCATGGATGCAACGAAGAGCGAACACTTCTACACTGCTGGTGGGATATAAACTAGTACAGCCACTATGGAAAACAGTGTGGTGATTCCTTAAAGAACTAAAAGTAGAACTGCCATTTGATCCACCAATTCCACTACTGGGTATCTACCCAGAGGAAAAGTCACTATTCGAAAAAGATACTTGCATATGCATGTTTATAGCAGCACAATTCACAATTGCAAAATCATGGAACCAACCCAAATGCCCATCAGTCAACAAGTGGATAAAGAAACTGTGATATCTATCTATCTATCTATCTATCTATCTATCTATCTATCTATCTATCTATCTATCTATCTATGATGGAATACTACTCAGCCATAAAAAGGAATGTATTAATGGCATGTGCAGCGACCTGGATGAAACTGGAGACTAGTATTCTAAGTGAAGTAACTCAGGGATGGAAAACCAAACATGGTATGTTCTCACTGATATGTGGGAGCTAAGCTATCAGGAAAAAAAGCCTAAGAATAATACAATGGACTTTGGGGACTTGGGAGGAAGGGTGGAGGGGGGCAAGGGATAAAAGACTACAAATAGGGTGCAGTGTATACTGCTGGGGTGATGGGTGCACCAAAATCTCACAAATCACCACTAAAGAAATTACTCATGTAACCAAATGCCACTTGTATCGCAATACTCAATGGAAAAATAATTTTTAAAAAAGACCGTGTCTAAGATGCAAAGTATAATTAGTGGTTTTGTAATATGTTTTAGGTCTTTGGGAACACAGCTGCCATTATGATAGGTACATCTATTATTATATTTGAACACAATTCAATTAACAAATACTCTAAGGAATGTATTGGGTCTCAAAGTGGAGGAGATACAGGACTTCATTTAATCTTACAAAACTTCTGAGAAAGGTATAACAATTCCCATTTACGAACTGGAAAACAGACCCAGAAATTTAAGTAATTTGTTGAAATATGCACAGTAAATGGTGGAGACAAGATTAAAACCCAGATCTTTTTGGTTCAAAAGCTCTTAATTGGGCCCTATGTTCCTGAGCAACTCATTTCCATGATCCATACCTCAAAGCCTCAGCCTTCCGCCCACTGCTGAGGAACCCTCTGGTTCTATGGTTTCTAACATTTTCTGGATTTCCTCAGTGATTTGCAAGCTACCGTGCAACAACTAGAGAAGAATCTTCTTTCTGATTTGTTCTGTCTGAAAATATCAGCCCGGAGGCTTAAACACTGTAATAAAAAGGTCTGAGGTAGTTACGTAAATAAGATACATGTGAATAATTATAGAAAGCTTTGTTTGAAAAAGATGAGTAATTTACCCTTAAGTTTGGGGAAGAAATGCCCAGGAAGTTTGAAAAAGAAAGGATATGAAAAATTTTAAGTGAGGTAATTCAGGCTTTTCCTCTTTGCTTCATTTTCTCGGGCAGACACATTGGAAAATAAGTGCATTCCAAAGCAGAGAAGTTACCATTAAACTGGTCCATTGTGGACAGGTGACAAAGCTCAGCCTTCTCTCTCAACACCCCACAGAACAATTCTAACCCATGGGTGCAGATGATTCAGACTAAATTCTTTATAATGTGGGTTTGTAAGGCCAGAAAAGAAGGACTATATTTCCACTCATGAGGATACAGAGCAAGGAAAAAGCAAACAATATCAAAAGTGCTTCTCCTTGTGCCTTCAGTAAATACTCAATAGATATTTTGGACTTGTTGGCTAATTAAAAAGCATTTTGATAGGCTCTTGTCATTAAACAAATACTAATTATAGCTCCTTCTGTACTCTGGGCAATACCAGAAATGATCATCTCAGTTCATGAGATGCCAGATGAGCCCTGTGCAGAGTGAGGAAGTTGTCCTGTGTGATTTCTACCCTCTGATCGGCAAACCTCTGGAAGAGAATTTTTTTTCACAAATCCTCTATTTTATGTCCTGTACTAATGTATTCATTCTCGAGTCTCCTTCCTCCCAAAACATATATTTTACAATCCTTATAATGTTCAGACATACTGGGTAATGCCTTGACAAATCTTTGTAGTTAGCAAAATATTGGAAACCACCTACACGATTGAGGAACACAGAGGTAATTCTATCAGAACAGGGGTTGGCAACTGTGGGCCCACAGCCTGTTGCCTGTCTTTGTAAATAAACTTTTACTGGAACATAGTCATGTTGGCTCATTTATGTATTGTCTATGGCTGCTTTCTTTCTTTTTTTGTCGCCCACGCTCCAGTGCAGTGGTGCTATCTCACTTCACTGCAACCTCCACCTCCCAGGCTCAAGTGATCCTCCCTCCTCAGCCTCCCAAGTAGTTGGGACCACAGGTGCACACCACCATGCCTGGCTAATCTTTTGTATTTTTTGTAGAGATGGGGTTTCGCCATGTTGCCCAGGCTGGTCTTGAACTCCAGCATGGCTGCTTTCTTAATTGCCACAAAGACTACATTTTAGGCCTGCAAAGGCTAAAATATTTGCTCTCCGGTCCTTTATAGAAACTGCCAAACCCTGTCATTTAAAATGTATTAACATTTCAAATAACATAGCAAAATACTTCTTTTAGAATAAGCTTTAAAAAATGTAAGGTATCATGTTTTATGTATAGTATAATCACAATTACGTAAAACAAATGAAAGTGGGTCTAGAGAACAGACCAGAAATGTTCAGCATTTGGACTAGTGTGGTAGAATTATGGGTGATTTCCCTTCCACCCAACCTGTGTTTCGCAATTTTTAAAAATGACCTTACGTTTCTAATAGAAGAAACTAGACCTCACTTTAAAAGCTCTTTGAGTCCACATCTCCATCTGGTACACAGTGGTCGTGACTAAATGCAGTGGTGTCTCCCCCTTGGCCCCTCCCCACAAGTGTGCTGAGGCGGGAGCAGGAAGTCCTGGTAAGTACCTTATGCTCATCCCGAAGGTGGCTGTCCAGTTCCTCCGTGTGCTTGGTCTCATAGTAGCAGAGCTGGCATTTGTAAGGTTTCAGTTCATTGTGCTTTTCTATATGTTGCTGGAGGCTCTCATCACTGGAGCAGGTGAAGGTACACTTATCACAGCGGAAAACTACTCCCTGCAAGTATTTGGACAGTTTGGACCGGCAAACTTCAATGGGGACAACACGCTCTTCTGTGGAAACAAATTGAATGGAAAGATGGGAATTTTTACTGATGGCAAAACAGAAGTTCTTTCTTTGGAATACAAGAAGAAACTCACCCAATCTTGCTGCTCCTCGTGGATCTGGTTCCTTGAACTGACACACATGCACCCTGCCCCTCCCCTAACCCCCAAACAACATATTCCTCAGGAATGAGTGGGTGTTTTTAAGACCAAAAGCTCTTTGTGTACTTAATACCCAGAATGACCTATAAATAGAGGTGGGGTGGGCTAGTAGGTGCTTGCTAATTCCTGAATGGAGGTGATTAAGGCAAGGGGGAGGAATAGAAGTAGCTGCAATTTTTACCAACATTAATGATTACTGACAACAACCATTAGCATGCCTTCCTTCCTCAGCAAGTGCAACTGAGGCTGGACTTACAGATGTCTTTAATGGGGAAAGAAACTGACATTCACCAGGCACCTATGTTCTGGTACCTTTCTATCAGCAACTTTATGAGGCTGGAGTTACTCTCATTTTTACAAATAAGTACAAATGGGCAACAGAGTCTTTAAGTAACTCTCCAAAGGTCATAGACATTGCAGTTGGCAAAGCAGAGATGTGAAACCAGGTCTGCTTAACTGTAAATCTATTATTTCTCACTATTTCCAATTCCATTCTCATTTCCCCTTCTAAGGTATTCTCAAAGAGACTCTTCCCTCCTTTTGAAACTAAGGGGATTTCTCATCTAATATCAAGTCTGAAAGCAAACCTGTACACTTTCATTCACTAAAACTCCAACTATGAAGAGCTCACAAATGAAATGACTGCAGGCAACAATCGGGGGAGGTGGGGTTGCGCAGGAGACAGGGAGGATTTGTGTCTTTTTAGACAGTCTGTAATCTGATTGTCAGAGGGAAAAAATAAAAGAGAGAGAGGATTTGGGTGCTTTTCCCGTTAACATACCAAATGCTGTAGGGCTGGAAATGCGTGTGCTTGTTTATTTTGCACTCTCTCACCCTTGTGTTTAACTGCTCAAATTAAATTTCACACCAGTCTGCCCAGAGTATCAGCGCACACGCCAGATATCCATAACTGGGATAAAATTAAAATCTGTGCTATTTATGCAAGAATCAAATATAGCATGTGTTTTCATGCTGTGTCTGGATTTCAGAAGACTCAGAAAGTTTACAAATGGACGCACACAACATATACTTATATTATTTAGAAACAGCAATGTATTATTAAGTCAAGAAAGCATGATTTATTCCCAGAGTCACTGAATAGCAATGTTTCCAGGGCATCGGTACGTTGTACACCGATGCGACTCACTCTTTAGAGTCCTCCCTTTGTTGCTGGCCAGTGTGCAGGCTCTAGGGAATTTTCCCCACCCAATGTCATGCCTTAGTCTCAACCACAACACTCTGATTGTAGGGCAGTCACTGCCTTGGGAGTCCTTGAAGGCAGCGATTAATCGGCCCGCAAAATGCTGGGCAGAGGAAGCGTGGAAGGTGGTATCTGCAACATACCCCCTGGAGCTCTAATGCATGTTATTTTCCCTATACAAAGAATCAGTTGCTTATTTAGAAATATAAATATTTTTAAACCCAAGTATAGCAGACAGCTAAGAAACACATGATTATAATGTAATCCACACATTTTTTTAGAATAGCAACTGTTTAAGTCCTCTAACCATTCAGTTGTATGGTTTGGTGTAAACGGAGAAAAAAAAATGCTTTGGCATAAACTAGTAAATCTTAAGGAGCTCATGCTAGGATATTCTATTCTTGTAACTCAAGGTTTCTAAAAAGTAGCATTATTGAAATTTTGGGACAGGATAATTCCTTGTTGTGGGGGGCCAGCCTGTGCATTGCAGGATGTTTAGCAATAACTGTGGCCTCTACCCACTAGGTGTCAAAAGCACCCCCTTCTCTCCAGCTGTGACAACCAAAAATGCCTGCAGACTAACACACTCTGGGGAGGCAAATTGACCTCAGCTGAGAATCACTGCTCTAAGCAAAGTGCCAGGCATTAACTGCAACTACGCTGGGTAAGGCACTCATGGACAGAACCCATGAACAAGCTAGTGTCAACAGCAAGAGATGGGGCATGCAGGCTGAACCACGGGGAACTGCCCCCATGCTGGGGATATGCCTTTAGACCTTAGGAGTTCATGGGAAGTGTTGACATGAACTTTACTGGCATCTTCCTTGGGACTGCATCCCCCTTGCTCTCTCTACATTTTAGTTCCTCATTTATATGTTATCATCTCTACTGTTTCTACTTTCATTCTTTGGCTTTGCCCTGTCCTGCCTGCCTTGGTTCCGTTGACCTCTACGGTGAAGAAGAACAGCCCGGTATCATTTTTCATATAATGATGTCCCACACGCCTCAAAGATAGTCATTCAGTGACTCTCCAGTCTTCACTTCTCCACAATTAATAATCAGTTCTTTCAAACTTTTTTATGAGCCTCCTTTTCAATTCCTCTACCACTTAGGTTGGTTTTCTTTGCAGTTTCCAATTTCACTATGTGTGTCTAAGTGAATTTTACACAAAGTCATGAATAGTCAGAATAACACCCTGAAGTTCAAGTAATTATTCATGTGAACACCACTGCAGACTATTAAGTGCTCGCTACGGTTCAAGCACCGTTAGGTGTTCTACCCTTGACATAACTTTTTGTTCTCATAACACCCTGCAAAGTCAGTTCTATTTTCTTCAGTTTGTTGATGTGGAAACCGAGAACTGATCAATTAAGCTACTTCCTCAAAGTCACACCTCTGGTTCAGCACAAAGCTGTGACCTGGGAACACAGGTCTTCTGATCTCTGCCAGGGCCCTCCTCTTGGACCCCTGATAAGAACTCTCCAGTCTGTATGTGTGTGCTTATAAGCCTTTCATTCATAATATTTAAAAAATGCAAAAGCTACAGATTTCTAAGGTAACCCTTTATATCTGAATGTCTTTCAAGCACCTTCTACATTTGAGGAAAGGGTCAAATCCCTGCTGAACTTAAATCTGAAATCTAGAACTTCCCATTTCCAAACTAAGACAATGCCAGTCTACCAAATCTCTTAATTATGTGAGTTTTTACTGAGATATTAATTTTAGAAAAAAAGTTAGCTTTTTCCCCTTTCTAAAAACATGGTTAACATGACCAAGATAAAAATAAAAAAAGACAGACTTTAAAAGGTGGGCAAATGACTGACAGTGTTTTCTGAATGAGGTCATTCATTCTTGAGGCAAATGAAAGACATAAAAGTTAAAAACTGGAATGGTTCCAGGTATAGACTGGGCTCTGCCTTGGTTACAGAAGCTCAGTGCTCAGGGCTTTTTCTATGGGGGCAGTGACAACTGTGGGTCTTTTTGACTTCACACCTCTCAAAATTACCTTGGGTGAAAACTCAAGGCCTGAATCACACTCATTGTGACTCAGCTTCTAGCACTGGCTGCAAAAATATTATGACTTCACCAGTTCAACTACAAGATGGATTGTGTCTCTCATCTCCTCCTACTCAAAAGATGCTTGGTGCTGCAGCAGGACATAAAACCGAAGAGGTTGGGCCCGAGAGTAATGTCACATTGAAGCACATGTGTACTAAGGTGCAACAAGAGCTGAGAATAGCATGCTTTCAAGCCTCCATGGAGGTCAGTGGAAAATTCTGCACAGCTGCAATACAGAGGGTTCACTTCTGCTCAAATTGGCGAGAAACCACACCACTGCAGAGCCCAGATTCAACTAGCAAAAATCCTTCCTGAAAGGCACACCACAACATAGGTGGGTTTCCTTCCCAGAACATGCCAAGTCTACATGAAGCAATGAGATTGGAAGTTCTTCACTCCACCAAAACTTTGCGTGCAAATTGCCACTCTAGAGGACTGAGTCCCTCTTTGCACCAAAGCAAAGAAGTGACAAAGTCTGAGTATTAGAGAAAGCTATGAAGAAAATAACATTATTTTTATATAAATCATCCCAAAACATAGCCATAAATAGACAAACATAAACACAAGCAAAACAGTTCCTGGTAGGAAGTATGAGGTTTTGATGTTAGCCAGGCTGCCATCCTCAAGCTAGAAGGAACTGGAAATGGCACCTCTAATTCTATCAGGCAAAGGTATTTGGAGAAGTTGAAAGGAAACATGTAATTTCACTGAATAAAATTAAAGATTGGCAATCTCACTGTAGACTTTATTCTCAAGAAAAATGACACTGATCAGATAAATTAGGGGAGATTATTTCCGTTCCCAAGGCTCCCACTTGCAAGGTTCAGTTAAATGCGGCATTTGTCTATGTATTGGGAAACAGAAACTTTAAGTTAATATGCCAATTAAAGACCCATAGCAGTGATTACATGGTTCCAAAATTACAATGTAAATATGTGGCAAAACTGTGTTTCATCCCTAAAATCTGTGGCCAGTTTTTAAGGCTCACTATGGATGTGCAAGATACATATACATGGGCAAAGCTAAGCATGAAACATTGTGCTTCCAATGGTGATCAACTCAATAGGAATACCCTCATAAAACTATTATTCACCTGTTTTTTAGTCTCTCTTCTCGTTCAAGTTCAAATTCCTTCAGTGCAGAAACCTTGCCTGACTCTTCATGGCTGTATCCCTACAGCTTAAAACAATGCTAGAGCTTTCTCCTCCAGCTGCCCAAGATGTCAAAAGAAAAAAAGGCCAAGGGGAAGAAGACGGCCTTGGCTCCTGCTGTCATTAAAAAGTAGGAGGCCAAGAGGGTGGTGAATCCCCTGTTCGAGAAAAGGCTTAAGAATGTTGGCATAAGACAGGACCTCCAGCCCCAAAGGGACCTTAGTCCTTTTGTCAAATATTCCCACTACTTCTGGCTATAGTAGTAAAGGGCTACCCTATAAGCAGCTCAGAATGACTCCTGTGATTAACCAATTCACCCATGACTTGGACCCCTAACAGCTACTCAACTGCTTAAACTGGCTAGAGACAAAGCAAGAGAAGAAGATTGTTGGCCTGCATTGAGAAGAAAGCTGCCAGCAAAGGGAATGTCCCCACGAAGAGGCCACCTGTCCTTCCAGCAGGAGTTAATACTCTTACCACCTCAGTAGAGAACAAGAAAGCTCAGCCGATGGTGACTGCACATGATGTGGATCCCATGGAGCTGGCTGTCTTCCCGCTTGCCCTGAGTCCTAAGAAGGGAGTCCCCTATTGTATTATCAAGGAGATGGCCAAATTGGGGTGTCTAGTCCACAGGGAGATCTGCACTACTGTTGCCTTCACACACATTAACTTGGAAGACAAAGGCGCTTTGGCTAAGCTGGTAGAAGCCATCAGGACCAATTATAATGACAGATATGATGAGATCCCACATCACTGAGGAGGCAAGGTCCTTGGTCCAAAATCTGTGGCTTGTGTTGCCAAGCTGTAAGAGGCAGAAGCTAAAAGACTTGCCACTAAACTGGGTTAAATGTACACTGTTCAGTTTTCTGTATATAAAAATAATAAAAAGTCTCCTTCAAAAAGCCAAAAACAAAATAAGGCTGGCATATAGTGGGTGTTCAATAAATATTTGTTGCATGAATGAAAACCTACCAAAAGTCCTACCACTGACTTCATCCTTGAAAGAGAAGTTCAGGGCTTAATTTTTCCCTAGTTAAACTCATCAAATCATGGTCAATCTCACCAAACGTTGATCTGACCTAAGTTCACAGTTCCTGAATGAGATGGGTCTACCAATCCTTTGCTTCAACCTTTGCTAAATTAGTATTCAATAAGTGTCTCATCAGTAACCTGATCAGAATTTGTCCTGGCTTCCCATCTGTCTACTGACTAAAGTTCCAACTTCTATATTAGTATCCAGGCGCTTCATACTTTGGCCAGAACATACTTCTCTGGTATGCTTCCTATTCTCTTCAGGACCCCGGAAATGTCTAATAACATTCTGCAAACATGTCTTGCTTCCACCGACCTCAGTGGTTTATTAAATTGTCTCTTCCCTCGTGTAGTGGGTTGAAGAGTGTCCCCCATAAACTTAAGTCTACCTGGAACCCCAGACTTTATTGGGACATAGGTTCTTTGCAGATGGCAATCAGTTAAGGCCAGACTAGATTAGGGTGTGCCCTAAACCCAATGACTAGTGTTCTTATAAGAAGAAAAGAGGGCACAAAGAGATACACATAGAGAAAAAGCCCATATGAAGATGGAGACAAACATGAGAGTGATGCAGCTATAAGCCAAGTAGCGTCAAGGAACGCTGGGAGCTGTCAGAAGCTAGGAAGAGGCAAATAAGGATCCTTCTCTTGTGCCTTCAGAGGAAACACAGCTCTGTCAACACCTTGATTTCAGAGTTCTAGCTTCCAGAACTGTGAGAGAATACATTTCTATTGTTTTAATCTACACATTTGGTGGTCACTTGTTACAATAGTCCTTGCAAACTAATATGCCCTGCCTTAAGTCTTCTCTGCCTGTTGAAATGTTATCATGGCTCAGTTTGAAAGCCACCCCTCTCTACTACAAACAGAAATATACCTAGATACCCATCACTCACTGTCTTGTCTATACTACGCACATGCTCATCTCTGAGGAGAGTGGGTGCTGGGTCTTATGTTCCCCATTTTGCCCAAAGAACCAAGCATAGCGTGGCACGTAACAAGCAAATAATGAATGTTTGCTGAACACATGAGTAAACATCATACTCTCTTTTGCTGTGGCCAACATAAATCCCTGATTAGTTCATATTCAGATTTCCCATGAGCGAAGTAGATTCTCTCTCTACTTAAATATATCAATTTATACAGACAAAAAGCAATGGAAACTCTATTTCTGCCAGCAGTAGTTCTGTCTCTGGGCCAGTTCAGAAGTTGGTTTTCTTGCTTTTCATCCCACATACTTTAATTAACTAAGACCTCAGAAAGATCTTGTACTGTGGACCTGAGAGACCAAGGATGTCATGGATAGAGCAGGAAGAGGACAGGTGCAGAAGGAGCCATGTCTTGTTACTTTGAGATCAGCCCCAACTCAAAATTGCAAGGCAGACATGCAGCTCTGTCTCTCGACTTGTCAAGGTCAGCTTCCTACTGAGCTGCCATTTTGAGTAGAGATGGACACCAAAGCCAGGCCGGGACACAGATGGTATACATGGCTGTCCTGAGGCACTCTGCTGCCTGTGGATCCGTGGACTTCCCCTCTGACCTCCTCTGATAATTCTGTCTTTGAACTCAGCCGCCACAGCTACTAGAACACTCAACAGGGTGATACTACCTCTCTCAGGGTGAGAGAGTGACGCCTGGTGGGTAAAGGCAAGAGCTGTGGGTCAGACAAGCCTGGGTTTAAATCCCAGCTGGATTACTTACTAGACATTTCATGTTCGTCAAGTTGTTAGCCTTTCTGAATCCATTTATTTCCTCATCATGGGGGATAACAGTCATCCACCACATAGGATTTTGTGAGAATTCTATAAAATGACATACTGTAAAGCACTTAGCACAGTACCTGCTAGGCAAGCAACCGGCAACAGTAACCATTGTTGTTATTATTGTTAATGTTGTTATTATTACTATTAATCCTCAAATGCTCATGTTCATTTCAGATGGATGTTTTCTGACCTTGATAAGGACTCTGAAAATGATCCTTACAAGTAAACAGAAGAGACCACAAATAACCAGTGACAGGTAATGTGATGAGACATGGGATCAAAGGACTGCGATTGACTGCTTACCAGTTGGGTGACTTTGAGTGAGTGATTCCAGCTCTCATGTGCCCTGCAAAACTTACTATTGTATTTATGATGGGCACAATATGCACTACGTCACACACTGTGCCCTTCAGGAAAACCTGCTAGACAAATTCCTCTAGGTTTCAGTGTCTAGGATTCCTGAAAATTTCCTGAATGACAGTTCAAAAAAGTCTAACAAGCAGTTGAAATCTGGTTGCTTCTGTGGGTTTCTTTTCTACCATGGTAGGCAAGGAATCTCAGGGCGAAATCTGCAGCCCACTGTGAACAAGGGCATGGCACCTCATGGTATCCACTGGGTATCCAAACTCTCAGCTAGCTTTTTCATACTTAGAGGTGAACTTTCCACTAGTTTCTTCTTATTTTGCATTTACCCCAATTTCCTTATTTGTTTTTAAACCTATAGTTCGGCACACACGTCTTTAAGATATCTTAAAACCTTTGTGAAATGAAGTAGATGGCAAATAAGTACATTAAATTATTTTAAAAATAGTTTGTCTCACTCTCAAGTTTCACAGGCATACAACGGGAATAGAGTAATAGTATCCTTCACAATGTTGCTGGAAGATGAAGTGACTGTGCGTGTAAGCGGCACTTTGTTGAGGGTAGAATGCTATGGGAGTATTTGTGGTCGTAGTGTTTAATCTCTCTTTGCTTCCCCCTTTCTTGTGTTCTCAGCTCAGGGAGGGAAAGTCATTGAGCTTGTTAGGCATCAAAGCTCTGTTCCTGCCAGGCAGCAATATGGGAAAAGAAGGGAACCAACCACAGAAAGTGAAGACTCGCCATGTCTGCTCGGCAGCAGCCCTGCTGATGGCCCCTTACCAAGCTGTGATAGGGCACAGAGCCACCGCAACACATGGGCTGGGGGACCGGAAGCCAGGTGACTGAGGCGGAACACCAGGCGGGACCACTCGGGCCAAGAATTCCTGCCTAAATGTTCCTATGATACTTCTCCCAGCTTGCAGGTGGACATCCTAGCCAGCAACGATCTCATGTCTCATTAGAGTGCAAGGGGGAGGAGGGAAATCTGTGCATGTTAAATGTCCAGCCTTCCATTGAGTTTGCATGAACATGGGTGAGTATGTCACAAATGTATTGGCCAAAGGCAATGGCTCAGGGGCAATGTGAGGTGTGTTGCCAATGGCCCCCAAATACTCAGCATTTCAGAGTGAGTGACATCCCAGCAAGACAACAGATGACACTCATTGCTTTTGAGGCATATGTGACAAATATTGGAAGGCTTTCTAAGGTCAGAGGCGAAGGAATGAAGATAGGAGGGAAGAGGATGAAAAGAAGGGATGGAGAGAAAGAATGAAGTAGATGGAAAGATCAGTAGAAACACCAATCAAGACTGGCAATGAGTACTCCAGTAATCTTTTTCTATCCACCTGTAGCTTGAATCTTTTCAGGACGAAACAGATTCTACATATTTTTCCTTCCAATGCAGAGGAAGGCTGTTGTTTAACAGTGTTTTAATTGGCCAAGGGTAAATGCAACTCAAAGAAAGACCGAAGTGGACTTAAAAGAAGTATCACTGTTTATCAGCAGGAACCAACATTTATTGAGCAGTCATTATGCATCCATTATGAAAAACCACTGGACACTTTACCCATTATCTCATAGGTACAATCATCTCTTTTAATGGATGGAGAGGTTAAACACAGTGGGCTCTAAAACCAGAATTTAAATCCAAAGCCCATGGATTTTCTAATTATTATTAGAATATATAATAGAGACTATTATTAGAATGTATAATATACATTATTTTAAAGAATTCTCTCTCCCTTCAACCATTTCAAGGGAAGTTCCATGTTCTGCTTTGGAAATCATTTTGGTCTTCTTGAAAGAATCTCTCACAGCCATAGAGCTCTCCACATTTCACATTTGCTTTCACCCACCCATTTTGTTTCTTGTTCATTCCTTCTATGCAGTCTACGCAAGGCTGTGGGTGGCAGAATTGTCAGAATGTACAAATCCCCCATGCTGGGAAGCCCTACGGAAATGTTCACTGCAGAATCCATCACCTTTGCCTCCCTCCAGGTGGAGGAAATACTCCCAGCAGGAAGGTGTTTTTGCCCTTTTGGCTGTCACTGTGGTTATCACTGTGGTTTCTTGCCTGAAGATAAGGTGAGGAACAAGGCACAGGTGCTACTGCCACTCTGAGAGAGCATCCCTAGAAGGCCATCTCTGCTGCCTGCCCCCCGCTGCATCCAAGAAAACCAAGTTAGAAAGGTTACCTCGGTGCAGCACGATGTGGTCAATCATGTTGCGCTTGTATTTGGTGTGATAGAGGCAGAGAGGACAGCGAAGATCTTTGGGGCCCTCCTCGGGAACTGCTGAGTGCCCAGCTTCCACGTGCATAGTAAAAGCAGATCTAGGAGAGAGTTTGGGAGGAGAGGTGATGCGTGTAACCAGGGATCATTGCATTTTCACATTTCCTGCTGGCAAACCCGTTATATATGTCCAAGTGCGGCTCTCCTGCTTGTGGGGCTAAAAAAAAATCTGTTCATCATGTTTGTTGACCACCCAGAAACTTGGTCACTCAACCGAATCTGAACACTGTCAAATGGTAGTAACTTCTTTCTGGAAACTGTGCCCTGGGCTGGGTTCAGAGCTTAGTTTGAAAAGAAACAAATTCCCCAAACACCTTATTCTTAAAAATTGTCTGTTAAGAGTATCAAAACAAAATCCCAAAAAAGGAACTATTTTTCATCATGCTTGGGAGGAGAGAGACTATTTTAAAGCTAGGTTGACTTAGAAACTGCCTGTATAATTCTTCACAGGTAAGGGGGGGAGGACAAGTTGTCCAGGAAGTCAATCATCATGATTGATGATTAGGTAAACTAAGTGGTGTTGTACCAGCTTAAAGGTGGAATGGTACTGCTGCCTCTTCCTCCATCCTTTTCAAATCTTCAAAATTTGCAAAGCCTTAAATGTCTCATTAAAATCGATAAAGCCAAGACTTTAATGGGCAGGGACCCTTTCTTGTGAACCCGAGTGTTGCTCTCTGGAGAAAGTGTCTGCCTGTCTGTCGGCCCTTGCCCTCTGGGGTCCTCTAGCCTTCTCTCAGCACCAAATCACAAATGTATTTATCTGAAAAGTAACTGGAGCAAATTAATAGAGATAGAACACACGTTCCATCAAATCCCAGCTACTACGATGCTGGTGGGAAAGAGACTTCTTCTTCCAATTCTTCTTTTTCTTTGGACATGAAGCCTAATTTCCACAGCCTCTCGGTGTGAAGCATGTATTGAAGTAGTCTAAGGCTCAGATCCTGATTACAATAGGAACAGAAAATAATAGCTTTTTATCTATGATATCTAATGTCATATTATTATAATAGCTTTCTATCTATGATATTATTACACTTATTAGTGTTTGCTTTGTGCCAGGCACTATTCTAAGTACTTCAAGATACACTGGTTCATTTATTGCTCACAAGAGCCCTATGATGTAGGTACTATTATTATCTTTATTTTATAGGTTAACAAAATAGGGACACAGATAGTGTCTTAGTGACTTGTCCAGAATCACCCAGGTAGTCAGGCTCCACACTCTACACTTGTAACCACTAACCTAAACGCTATCTCACAGGATGAGATTCAAATGCAGAAGCTTAGATTACATCATAGGAAGCATTCCATTCTTAATAATTGAGTCCATCAATTCTGTCATCCACAGGGGCAAGGGTGACTATGGATTCTCTTTTTCTAGACTGGAGCAATCTCCCTATGATTGCTCAAGTGTAGTGTTGGAAGTGCCAGGGTCTTGATTCTCTATGTGTCTTTCAATACTACGATCTTAAGAATTAAAGAATTTTCTATCAGGGGAGCAGGGAAGACACTACTGCCGGATGTTTTCTCTTGACTTTGACTTTGCTTCCAAGAACATACTTTTTTTTCCAAAGCTAAAAAAAGGAGAGGAGACAGTTCTCTGAAGGGAAACACCACTCCACGCATGGGAGGAAATCATTTGCTTCAATCTTACACTACTTGAGAGCCCATTTGCTCCAATTTTAAAACTCATTTGTTCTGATATAGCTCTTCATCCCTTCCCAAATCCCAAAGCAGTCTTCTGAAACTACCCTCCTTCCATGAAGCCTGGACCCAACCCCTACATCATCACATGGGCAGGGCCTCCCATAAGCTCCAAGTAGGAAAGTGTAAGGGAAGCCTGCAGTGAGGGGTGGAGCAGGGGCGGCCGCCTTGTTTTCCATAGCTGTTCATTACGTCACTTACTTAAAGCCTGTGTAAAAGGAGCAGTCTTTGCACTTGAAAAGCTTCTTCCCACCATGCTTGTCCCGGTAATGACGCCTGATGCTCTGGATGTAGCCGGAGGAGAATTCACAGAATTCGCAGTGAAGCACGGCTTCAGTTTTCTGCTCAGTGCCAGCAGCAGCCCCAGAAAGAGGCACAGGGCTAACACGGCTGTTGTTCCTTGCCAGGGCAGCTGACTGATAGTGGTTCAACTGCTGCTGAACATCTGGGGGCTCTGAATATGATGAGTCTGTGAAGAGACGGGAAAAATGACACGGGGCACAGAGAACACAGTAGGTGATCGATGCTTGAAAACCCCTGACATCAGGTTTCTTTTTACCCTCCAGCTTTACTAAGGTATAATTGACAAACGGAAATTGTTTATACTTAAGGTGTACAAGATGATGATTTGATATATGTATCTGTTGTGAAATGATGACCACAATCAATTTAATGAACGTATCCATCACCTCACAGTTACCATTTGTAATGTGCAGGGAACACACCTAAGACCTACTCCCCCAGCAAATTTCAAGTACACCACACAAATTTCAAGTATTATAAATTATAGTCACTATGCTGCACATTGGATCCCTAGAACTTACTAATTTTATAACGGAATGTTTGCATCTTTTGACCAATGTTAGTTTTGAGAGTTCTTTTTTTTTTTTTTTTAAGAGGGATGATTATGATTCCATCTTTTATCTTCATTTACATTCTACAACACAGATTTGGGGAATGCATGCCGGGAGGAACTATCACCTCTTTTAATCTGACTTTGAGGGCTCATGGTATTTAAAAATAAAATTTTGAGGTTAAAGGTTTCAAAGTGTAGGAAGAAAGTAAACCGTTTTTTTGTTTTATTTTGTTGTTGTTGTTTTTTTTTTTAAAGGAAATCGCAGCATGGCAACAGGTTGCCACAGAATACCCTTCCCTGTAGGTGAGAAAATAAACCTGCATAATGTACACAGGCGTCTACACGAGAAAGGAAAGGACATGATGCAACATCTCCTCCTTTGCAGCCCAGATTTATTCAAGCAACCAAATTTAAAAAAAAAATCAGTCTTTAACAGAAATGCTCAAGCACAAGGCACTCACACAAATATAAAAATGTTTTATGCCTTCACACTCAAGTGATTTAAATTTTAAAATATAAAAATCCAATAGCGTTCTCCTGGAATGGATGTTTAAAGCTTAGTCAGCATTAAGATGGAGATTTATTCATAAATCCCATTAAAATGAAATTCCAAACAAGTTTCCCTGAAAGGTATTTTAAAGTTTGCGATTCTGAGGAAAATGTCGGAAATGACAGGCACAAATCTTAACCCCGAGAAGCTTCAATGGCATGCGGTGGAGAAATCTGATCTAGGAGGGAGGAGGGGAAATCTCAGCGTTTCTTCTTTGAATTAAAAAAAAAGAAGAGAAAAAAAAGTAAAAATAAATAAATAAAGGGGTTGGGGGAGAGGAAAAGTAAAAGGTCTTGAACCTTTTCCCAACATGCTGCTTGCAATGTGGAGGTTAGAAATTCAAAAACATTGTCCTATATAACCTACAGCTGCCTATGAATGACACAAATGAAGTCCATGAATACCACACAGATGAATTTCAGTGTAACTTTCCTTGAAAAGAAAACAAAGGGCTCTTTTCTTAAGCCTTTCAAAAAGCAGGGGGGAAAGGGGATAGAAACTGTACAAGCCTCCTCCTGATTTGATGGACACTTAATTTTCCAAAGCATAATTCCCTAAGGCAGGACATGGAGGAATTCTCTAAAACCCATATTTGATGAAACCAGCACCATCCATCCCGTCAGCCTCTTCGAACAGGAAAACAAAAGCAGAGCAGCCTCCCTGATTGCTGGGCCACCGCCTGTCTGCAAAACACTCAAATATCTTCCCCTTCTTGTTCTCCTCCCCGCCTCCTCAATTCATATTCCTCAAGATTGAGAAAAACCCCTTTGGAAATTGTAAACAAACCTGCCACACACACAAAAATAAAACAAAAGGAAACCTGAACAATGTCTCCAAGCCTCCATAGGTTCATTACCAGGTGTAAATGGAAGACAAAGGAAGAAAGGAATGACAACTGAATTCATTTTACCCAGTTCTTTTATCTCCTTTTTCTTTATTCCTCTACCCTAGCTGATGAACCCACTCTGGATCACAATAATGCAATTGTCAACTTTTCATTCTTCTCATTCAATAGCAGGTTTGTTTACCATTTCATGGATTGTTTGAGATGTTTTCTATTTAAGCCCTCAAGTCTAGTTTCTGCTTGAAACACATGCACAATGAAGCACAAAACACACTCCACCTCTCCTGTTATCACAGGCTTGAGCTGTAAGTTGAGCACTGCCAGCCAGGATCCCCAGATAGCTTCTGTCCTCTTGGTAATGTTGGTCCTAGTTTGCACTCTTAGCTCTGCAGAATAGAAATTCTATAACCAGCAAGGCCAAAGCCAGGTCCTGCTGGCCTGTGATCTGTCTACCATCCACAATCCACCCAGAGACCAAAACAAATCTCCCAAGTGATGGTCTAGGTCTTAAAGGAGTCACAGTCCCCTCCATAACAAGGCACATCCCTGGATCTCCCAGATTAGTATGAATGCTGGTAGTCATCTCAGATACCAGGTACCTGACATCTCCAGTCCCTTTCTAGCAAAACTATAAAGAAATGAACGGCTCCTAGCCAGATGATAAGCCAGATGAATGCACTCCCAGACCTCCCATCCACCCCCAACTCAACACATGCACTGATCTGTCAGGCAGACCCCCTCCAAGGACCCCAATCTCTTTTAGTTAACACATTTTTATCTTGTCTCTAGGGCCTATTGCATATTATTTCATCCATCTCAAAAAACAAATTCTATATTTTAACTCTGGTATTTATACAGTATGGAAAACCTGAAGAAATAAAAATGCAAGAAGTCACGGGAAAAGCATTCCAAGAAACAGAGGCTCATTGCCCTTCTCAAATGGCAGTGCAAAAGGAACAGCTAATGCGTCCATGTCATAAAATTTTTTTTTTCCTCCTGGTTAAAATCAGATGGACAGGTTTATTGACAAAAACAAGCAAATCCCATCATTTAGGACACATTTGTAATAATGCCCAGGTTACAACTTTTTGGATTTTCTTAGGGCTTTACTTTCCTTTCTGCTGCCAACATTCTCAATTTCGCTCTCGCTCACGTGGAATTTGTGAATAATGTAGGATTTTAGCACTTTGGGCACTAAAGTGATAAAGACATGAGTGTGTATCATTCCACCGATCTTTAAAAAGCCCACTTGCTAAGCTACATAAAATTCCTGTTTGTTCATGAAGCATGGCCTGAAGAGCAGGAAGGAGGTCGTTCTGTGCCCAGGTTAGAAAGGCAAACAGATTGTTAGCTGCGAAGGGCATGTCACATAAGTTAAAAATCATCATTAAGACTATTTTCTTTCATTTTGAGCTTAAGGAAAGAAAGGTTAAAAATATCCTTGTGTTGGGAGAGTCAGACTTCTGGTCATGGGGAAATACAGCAGCTGAATCACATGGATGTGAATTCAGTGGGAAGTTCTGCACCCAACTGCGGCTCACACAAGTTAGATCTTTAACACCTGTATGGCCAGTGGTATCTACAATGGAACCAACAGCAAAGACTAAGGTGGTCCACCTTTAAAAGCAGGTCATGGCTTAGCATCACCATACATTCCCAACCAACCAACCAACCAACCAACCAACCCTGACACATACAGTCTGAGAAAAGAGTTTTATTCTCTGACTTGTGACTTTAATTATATGTGAAGTTTTAGAAATGAAATTATAATGTATAATTGTAGTTATAAAATAAATTTAATTAAGTTATATGGAGTTCTCCAGTTTGTAAGCTATCATAAGAAATGAATTAAAATCAGGATCAAATTAGAATTTTAGCAATGATGGTCACAGTGCCTATAGGATTTAGAATTTATTCAGAAGCCAGCAATTAATTCTCACAACTATGGTGTGCGGTCTAATTGGGTTTACATCTCAATTTTACCAGTGAGGTAGCTGAAGCTGAGGATGACGGGTCACATAGACACGAAGAAGCAGAGGTAGGATTTGAACAAAGACCTGTCTGATTATAAAGTCTGAGTCTTGTGTCTTAGGCATCTGTTCTCAATGGTGACCTCTAGGGTTCTGTGATACAAATCAGAGGAGCCAAAAAGAACATGAACGTTGCTTCAGCAATAAACACATAGTAGAGAGGAAAGAGAGAAAGTGATAGAAAGGTTGAAATAGTTAAGAAAATAACATTAGAACAGATGCAAATGATAATAGAATAGACAGAAAATAACACTAAAATGAATAGGGAAGAAAACACTAACATTTTGAAGCATTATGAAAAAAAATAAAGCAAGACTCAAAAAGAGAAAGAATATCTGAAATTTCAAAATGCTTATATAAACAAAATAAGGGACCACACAGGAGACATTTCTAGAAGCATGTTGTGAAGATAAGCCCTGCAAATACCCAGAACTGGAAACCTATCTGTCTAAATGTCATGCTTTAGTTAGATGCTTGATAAATTGTCCTCAAATAATAACACTCTAACATTCCTCAAGTGGGGTTTGGCTGGGAAAAGAAAGATACACAAATGCAAATGAGAGATGGGTGCTTTTTCGTGGCTCTTGAACAGCTCAGGATTTCAAACCAGGTAAGGGCTGAATTCTAAATGGGATGTCCTAACCCTCTCATTTTTCATGTTCCTGGAGAAATTGGACTTTTTTTTTTGCTAATTCCAGCTCTCTAGAATAACAGTTTGAGTTGTTTTGATTTTTTTCCTTTTTTTCTCCAAAACTTAGAGAAAAAAATGAAACAATCACAAGAAATTTGACTTTATAAAGGCAAACGACAAATAAATGGACCATAAGCCTGAGAGAATGAGACTTTCTTGAGTATTCACAGTTCCAATTCCACAACATTTAGTTAACATTGTGCTAGTGCCAGGTCACGTGCTGGCTCTGGGGATCCAAAGTCAAAGAAGACATGAGAGATGCCTTCTAGAAACTCATATTTATTAGGGGAGACAGTTGAGCAGTTGACTTATGAAAATACAGGCCTCTCCATGTCTAGTAAACTTACTCCACTGATTGAAGGAATAAAAGAGGCAAAGAGAACAAATGAACAGTAACAGGAGAGTTCAGCTATTGTAAGTTTAAGGAAGACACAAGGAAGAATAAGAGTCAATTGGGCAGCAAATTGTAGGAGCCGCAGAGGACAGCCCCCTTGCATGCTCTAAGTGATACAAAGAGGAAGCTATACCAGAGGATCAATTCTCAATTTTCTGCAGCCCTGCATAGAGAATATGAGTGAAGGTGAAAGGGAACAGAAGTACCTTGGTGCCAGCGAGTACATTTAATTATATTTGAGCTAGATTTTTGTGCAGACTTGGAAGACAGGCTTGTTGGTCAGTGTGAATCAAGTACCAAGAAAAAATAAAAGACAAGGAATTTTAGGCAAGCAAATTTTAGAGGTGGCCAAGGGGCAAATGATTCAATTACACCCATTCATTCAGCAAATATTTACTGAGCATTTAAGTAAATAGGAGACCCTGTTCTGGGACAGTAAGACTTGAGCCTTGACCTCAAGCAACTCACTTTCTCAGACAAAGATGTAAATAATTGATCGTGATACAATGCAAACAAAATGTTTTAATAGAGGTATTTATAAACAGGCAGGGGAAGGAAGGAAAAATCAGCAGCACTTTGTGCCTCACAGAATGTGGGAGTGAGAGAGATGGAGAGGGGATGTCAAGAGAACTATGAGTGTCCATTAATAAATATAACTAGTATTAATTAGTGTGCTAATTAATGAAATCAACACTAGACACGCAGCTACCTAAACGTTCAACTCACTACACCTCCACCTTAAGTCGTACATTTTGGAGAAACTAAACAGAAATTCAACAACTACATTATTATCACAATGAAAAAAAATGACTTAATTTCCCTAGGGTAAAGAAATGATGAGTCTGAACAGAAAAACATGTACATCAGAGGGTGGGGTAGGTTGTGTAAGGGACAATTTAAAATCGCCAAGTTCTAAAATAGCATAGGAAGTTCAAAATAATACATGGATTGTAATTTTCTTCTGAAAAGCAGACTATTTAGCAACTAATGGTTGGTAGCATGGGCCATTAGAAACAGAATATTATCTGTGGATAACTTAAGATATTGTAAATGCCCAAAGTGAGGAGGTTGAGGGAGAACCCAAATAAGCTAGACGTATAGACCATTATTTCTAGTGAAGAAAATTTGAGAAAGGTACACAAACAAAGGTAAGAGGGCAGCTAAAAATGTACTTTATTTAATAGCCAGGAAACTTTTGGGATGCCATGCAACTTCTATTATACAACTGCTAATAAACTTAGGCAAAGGACAAAAATAGTTTCAGTATTTTCATGTATGCGACAGTGATCCAGGAATCTGTAGTGACCAGAAACAGAATTCTGCAATGGGAAACCTAATGAGCTTTGTGATCATCTGAGTCTTCATCTAAAGCTGAAAGACTATTCAAGCTTTGTGTCTGATGGACTCCTGAAACTCACCACATTGAGAACTGACACCATCTTTCCCTAAACATCTCCTTCTGCGTTCTGAATGTTGGTAAATGGCCCACCACTTTGTTTGAGCTCAAATTGTGAGATTCTTCCTTCAAAGGTTCAGATTTCTCCCTTCCCTGTGGCAGCACATTTAAACAGGTATAACGCATCAGAGACATGCCTCATGACCTGCCTCCATTCATTTTCCTCCTCAGTCCTGCCTTCCCTACCCCTTGTTCATTGAGGTCCTCCTATTACATATGGGCAACTCTTGAAGTCTCCTACCTGGTGTTTCTTCTTCTAAGATCAATTCCAGTTCAGCCAGCATACATATCATTACTCATATATGATTATGATATGAGTGTGCCCTATTGCTCAAGAGTAAAGCTCTTCAGTCTCGTCTCAGCCCATGTCTCCAGCCTCACTTCCAGCTAGCTTCCAATTTCTTGCAAATTCTACGTATTGCATCCTTGGGGATCCTTAATCAACGCCACCAGTGTGCTTTCTCTTCTTTTTCCCTGGCAAATTCTTACCCATCCTTCAAAACTCAGCTGAAATGTCACACCCTCTGTGAAGATTTTTCCCAGCAATCCGAACAGAACTCTTTGCTTTCCTCTATGCTTTGCCAATACATACACATTGTGATTCTTGCCCTGATCTCATTATACCTCATATTACATTTACAAGTCCTCCTTAAGCAAACTTGGCTAGATCAATGTCTCTGACCTTAAAACATTCTAACCAAAGAAGAACCATGGCAACAGTGGTATCTAGGCTGATGCTGTACACCATCCTTTAGCAGGTCCATCCATTTCTGCTTCTAGCACTGGACCTAATGCTAACAAGAATCATCAGTTTCATTTGCTCCTAAAACTTTTTTGTACCAGTTATATTTGCTACTGAGCTCATTCAATTTAATTAATATTCTATAAGATAAAATATAGGTATAAAAGTGTTATTTCTATGAAAGCTATGTTGAATGCTTTGAAAAGACTTGATAAAGTCAAGTTGCTAAAAAAAAATTACTGTTAAGTTACATTTTGGCAAGACCAACTATAAAAGATTGAGAACATAAAAATCTAGAAGGACTCTGCTCTAAGACTGTTTCACAAATGTCTAAGTTCTCATTCCACTTCAAAGAAATGGAAACTGGAAGTAACACACAACGCAGTGTAGGTGAGTGTGGTTTACACAAGGGAGAAAACAGGGAACTTCAATCAAAGGAACGAGATTCAAATACATAGGCTTTACCCTGTATCACAATACTGGTGAATACATGTATTTACATTTTAAATGAAATTAAAATGCTTAAGGCATTTTGAAAAGGATTCCCTAGTTAGGATGGTGATTATCAAAAAAAGAAAGTAAGTGCTGGCAAGGCTGTGGAGAAACTGGAACCCTTGTGTGCTGCTGTTTGGAATGCAAAATGGTACAGTCTCACGGAAAATAGCATAGAATTTCCTCAAAAAATTAAAAACAGAACTATCGTATGATCAAGCAATCCCACTACTGGATATTTATCCAAAAGAACTGAAATTAAGATCTTGAAGAGATATGTACTCCCATGTTCACTACAGCATTAGTTACAATAGCCAGGAGGTAGAAGCAACCTAAGTGTTCATCAACATGTGAATGAGAGAAAATGTGGTGTATAACACACACACACACACACACACACACACACACACGAATATTATTTAGCCTTAAAAAAGAAGGAAATCTTGTTATATGCTAAAGCCAGTCACAGAGGGACAAATACTGCACGATGCCACTTCCATGAGGCACCTAGAGCAGTCAAACCCATACAGACAGACAGTAGAATGGTGGTTGCCAGGGGCTGTGGGTAGAAGGAAGTGGAGAGTTGTTGTTCTATGGATATAGAGTTTCAGTCGTGTAAGATGAAAGAGTTCTAGAGATCTGCTGTATAACAATGTGTATACAGTTAACAATACTATCCTATATACTTAGAAATTTGTTAAGAGGGTAAATTCCCATGTTATATGGTTTTTACTGCAGTAATTTTTTTAGGTGCCTTTAGACAAGATCATCTGTTAGGTTCCTTACAAACTTCATAAACTTTAATTATCACCATAAATACTTAATGATGGTACTTAAGAAAATATCCATTAGATTGAATTTGTGGACAGCCGTGCTATACAGGCACACAAGGCATTGTTCCTGTCAATCTGAAATGACAACCAAGCAGGTAATGTCAGCTCCACAGGAGCAAGGGTTCATGCTGTCTTTTTCGCTGATGTATCTCAATTGCTTAGAAGTGCCTGGAAAGGTACTTAAGAAAATGTTTCCTGGATTAAACTTGTGGACAACTTTGTTAAGTCCAGATACATATATATTGTTTTAAGTTATTAAAACAGTGTGTAACACAGAGCTATCAAGATGATTCTCAGACTCAAGAAGTCTGCTGATTTAAAAAATTGTTCTCGGTTCTATCCGAATTCCTTTGTACCTTGATTTAATTCCCATTCTCAAAATACCTGTTTCTCAAGTGCTGTTAACACTGAGCAGAATTTGGTATCCAGAGAAACAATAAAAACCACAAATCACCAATGCAACTTTCCAAGTATTTCCTCTGAAGAGCCTCAAAAATGTTCTTTATCTATGGGCTATTCCAAAAGAAAATTATATTCGAAACTAAGCTTTAGAATACAAACCATTTCCATTCCATAGTGTCTAAGGGGGAACATACGCCTCTAAAGGCAGTCACATTATTTTATTTCCTTCTTTTGATTATGCCTTGAAAATCTCCAGGCCAAGGACTCTGGCACCTCCTTGTCTACTGTCATCAGTGGAGCTCTCTGGCCTGGACGCACAAGATTATGATACAATGGCCAGGGGGACAATGGATGCTGGATGACTATATATAGGAATTCTGGACTCCGTTGTCATGGAGGCAAACGGAAAAACAAACGCCTAATCCTGAAAATAAGGTTGAGGCCAAACTTGAAGGAAACACACACTGAAAACTTCCTGTCATTCTGATGAGTAAAAACAAAACCTTGAAATATGATCAGGGAATAGATTGAGAAAACAAAACAAAACAAAATATTAGCCTGCAAAATGATACAAACATGGCAAAAAATGGGCAAGCTTTCTCTTTTTTGAGATCTAGTTTCCCATCATACTTACATTCACTGAAAAGGTTTCTCAAAGACCTTATTTTGTGTGAAGCCTCATGTTTTTTCTTTATATTTTTGAGGAATCCAGGCAGGTCTGACCTGAGGCCAAGGAGGATTCCTGGACTTTTCAATTCACTAGATCGTATACTTGGGAACATATTCATTTGTCTTTCTATATTTTTTGTCAATGACATCACCATTCATTCACCCAGTCAATGAAATCAGAATAAATCCTTGATTCATTTCTCTCTTTCATTCCACACATTCAATGAGTCAAAAGCTCTGTTGGTTCAGCCTCCTGAGAAACTCTATCTCTGTGATCCACTCACTAGCCCACTGCCATGGCTTTTGTTCAGGCCCTCGTGGTTGCTGTGTGAACTTCTACTGCAACATGTTCCTAACTGGCATTCCATTTTCCAGTTTCTTCTCCCCCTATGATTCCTTTCTTTTCTAAAATGCAAATGTGATCATGACACTCACTTTCTTACAGAAAAAAGCCCAAACTCTGAACCATGGGGCTCACACTCTCCTTCATCTTTCCAGGCCGATCCTCACTCCCTTGCCCACACTGTTTCCATGCTGTGCTTAATGCCAGTCACATACAAGGCTTCTAATATTCACTTTTTATGCCTTTTCCCCCTGCATTGTTGTATATTCTTGCAATATCCTTCTTATACTTTTCAGTCTGACAAACTCTTACTCATCTTTCAAAACTGAACTCAGTCCAAATCTGCCATCACCACGAAGATTTTCCTTGACCCTTCTAGATACACATATTAAATTCCCCCCTTAGACTCCCCTACTACTACATATCATGCTGTATTAAGGTTAATTTATTTTACCCCTACCAGACTATGATCTCTTTGAAATTAGGCCATCCATCCATCTATCCATTCATGTATCCATGTGTGCATCCATCCATCTATCTATAATTGTTTTAAGTCGATGTACCCCAGAACTTAGTCCAGTGGCTGGCCTAAAGCAAGTGCTCAACAAACATGCTACAAACATCCAAAAAAAAAAAGAGTACAAACTGAAAATACTGTTCTGGAAAACCCAGATTTAAAAAGAAAATGCAACTGACCAAATGCTACTCTCTCTTTGGATACTGAGGTTTAAGAGTCTTCCCACTGAAACACTGAACCATGTTTGCTGAAATAAGCCTGGGTCTTTTTTAATTACACGGACAATGGCTTCTGAACATTTAAGAACTTGAATGCAATGTAATTCAGAATCCATGGCTGTCTCAAGAAACCAAAGGCATTAATTTCTAGTCTTGCCCCTAAATCAGCTATAAGCCAAAACTCAAAACACATGCTATCAGCACATCTGGAAGCCACTTGAGATTATTCAGTATGCAGCTCTCTATCCCTCATTTTTTTCACCCATCAGTAGGCATCGATGTTTGTGAGATGCTCAGGTGTAATGGGTACCATGTATTTAAATACATCATAGCTTTTTGATAAACAATCAACACCTGAGACCATACAAATAGAGCCCTTTGCAATCTGTGAGAAGGTATTCATGGATTACCTTCAGGTGTTTAGAACTATATTTTCACTGTATACACTGTTTTACCTATTTTCCTCCATTAGAAATGCACTCATCCCAGATATGTAGCATACAGACTATCCATTTTGCCTAAAGACTTGTAGTGGCTCAGAAAAGCAGATATGGGTTTATGTTGCCCAGGTAACCAATGAAGAAACAGAAGCATAACTTGGGGATCCTGAATGCCCAGTCCCAAAAATGTGTGTGTTTGTTTTTTCTGCCACTGTAGCTATTCCTTCTTCATTAAATGATATTTGTAATTCAAAGTGTGTGTTCTTAAAAACCCTCCTTGAAACAGGCAGGAAACTTGTAGGGAAATGAATGTGTGGTGAAGGATCCTTTTTCTAATGTTTTTTGGAGGAAACTCTGGGTGGCATCTGCCATTGTTAATTGAGAAGCTCTCACAATACCGAATGCATAATTCACCTGTGACTCTTTTGAATTGTGTGATGAGGAAGTAAGGTTTCCTGCTGTTCGTTTAGATCATATAGATGTCTTTACCACACTGAAAAAATCCAACAAAAAGTGTTGAGCACAAAAGCCTCTTTATATAAATGACTTGGCCTCAACCGTAGAGAGCTTGTGAGCAACCTCAGATGGTATTTAGAGCTCACAGGCCGTGGGCAAGGCCACAGTGCTTCCTCCTCAAGACCTGACTGGAGGGAAGATGCCTACTGACTTCAAGGAGTTGGTCACAATTGATGGCTTGCTATGAACAGTGCTGTGAGAGCCCGGAGGGAACAACTGTGGAGATTTCTTAAAAGATTCGATAATCAAGAGGAAAGAGCACATCTGGGTATAAGCATATATATATTTAGATACACGTAGAGCTCTAAGTGATGCTACACGGAAATCAGGTGAGAAAGGCTATGGTTGATCAAGAACAAGAATGAGCAGCCACATTTCAAAGCACAGAGCTCTTCTAAAATTGTCCCCGAGCGGGAGTCTCTGAGCCAACAAACCCAGTGGGTTTCTTAACCCTTTTTTTCTTTTATTTTCACCTATTTCCATGCAGTGTAAGAAAATCCTCGCTCTAGGTTAAGCTATATTTTTAATCACCGTTAAAGCAGTAGGTTGTTCCCTTAGGATAGCTCCTCCACCCACTCCAAACTCACCCCACAGAAATGCTGCCCAGTGATGCTGGATTCAGGTGTAGGGTATTAAATTTCCAAGAAGCTGGAGGGATCAGGTAGTGAGATCCAGGTTCACCTTTCACTGTCTTAGCCAGCTCTGTCTAGCATCTGTGTCAGATGTTTTTTGTAAAGTCTCTTGTTGCCCTTCACCATGACCTTATGAGAATTATTACTTCCCATTATATAGATGGCAAAACCCAGCAACAACTGGAAAACAGACAACTTTTCAGCTCCCAGAGTATGTTGAGGAGCCTCCTTCTAGGTCTGCAGCAACTTTTAACCCAACACACCTCTGTGTCCTCATTTGTCAAGTGGAGAAGATAACATTGGCAACTTCATAGGGTGCTCTGGAGATTATATAAGACCAATGTGTGAAGTCCAGTGACTGGCACATAGTGAGTGCTTCCAAGGGCCTCAGTTCCACAGCAATGAAGTCTGCATTATATCAATTCTGCACCAAGTAAGTGTTTATGGAGTGTGTTCTATGGATGGAAGCATTTGGACTCCTTTACTGGACTGCAGAATCAAGTGGAACAGGGATCTCTGACACAGCTGTAAAATATGTAGTATTCATCCCAGCTCTAGGCACATAGTAGCTGCTTGGAGGCTACTTTTTGACTGACCAGTTCTGGCACAGCCAAATGCACTGCTACTTATGGCAGCAACTTGTCCAGTGATTTTGTAGGGGGAGATGGCTGAGTGGGGAGGGGATTGATTGTGGGACTTGGATTCAGCTCAAAGGCAGGGCTCAACCTGAGTAATACCACAGACAGAATGATTCACTCCTATTTTGTTAGTTAACAATGCACATGGAATGGTCACAAATCAACTTGCTTCAAAAAGTCATCTCAGGGCAAATTCAATTCCCAAACTGGACAGGCTTTCCTGGCAATGATTCTGGGGTCTATTTCCTTTTCAATATTCTTCAAGATTACCTGCAGCTTTGAGCAAGGTTCTTGGCATCCAATTGATAGGCTTGGCCTCAATCATTCCTGTCATCAATGATGCCCTCCCCAACCACCTTACCTGACACTCCAACTCCCATCCTTTCTACCCTTCACCATGGCTTTCTTTCTCTTGATAGCACTTCTTGCCACGTCATCTACAGTGGATGTATTGGTTGACTGTCTGGTTCTCCCTGCTACCCACGAGGAATGTTATCGCGAATTTCTTAGTGTGCATGGATGTTTGGATTTTATTTCATGATTGATAAGGGCATCTCAGCTTCCTTAGGAACTTCTGGCACAGCTAAGTATGGGTTACTCTTTAGGGGTGTTTGCTTACTACTCATTTTGAGAAATCTTAGGCTCTGTGCTGAGAGGTGCTTTCTTCCCACTATAGATCTACAAAATAATTTGAAGAGAAAATAAGTGGAGAAAGGGATTCCAGGAAGAAGGAATAGCAAGGGCTAAAGTGTGAGATAGTAGGACCCTTTTAAAGACAGGGTATTCAGTGTAGCTACAGTGCAAGGGAAGAAGTGGTGAGGAATGATCCCAGTGAGAAATGCAGGGCCCAATGAACAGCTTTCCATGCTAAGCTCAGAATTTATTCTGAAGGCAACGTAGACAGCCACGGAAGGGCTTTAAGCAGGGAGCAGGTGAGATAGTGGCCTCCCAGTTTTACCTTTACTGTGTCTGTAAATTGTACCCACAGTCCTGACCTCTCAGATGGGAAAGGAGGCTTGGTAGAAATGCATTCCCACTGTGAGAAAAACCAACTGGCAGCACATTCCCTAGTGATGATGGAATATCATCAGCACCCCACGATTCCACATTTTGTTTTGTTAAGTAGAAAACACCATCTTTTCTTCTCGGGATTTTACTAGCAGGTTAGAATTGTTCATCTGAACTGTTCATCTAACTGTTTCTATTGAACTCAGTACATTCACATCTCAAATGGACTATGGCTCTACCTATGGGAAGGAAAGAAAGGAACTTAGTAGGCTACCTTCTCTGCTCCCTACCAACCCTTCATGTGCAAAAATTAATAATAATGTAGAACAGGTGACCAAGTGCTTTATCCATGTGCTGCAAACCACAGTGTGTAATCATCAGCCACCCTTTGCTCTATTTCCTGAATACACACTCTCAGCAACATCCAAAATATTTCTAGATCTGCATTTTACTCTTAGTTTTAACATCCATTTGTCAACTCAGACGCTTAATACATATTTCTTAGATTCATTTAGACAACACTGTGATCAAAATATTATTTTGCAAAGTGATGCAATATTCTTCTGGATGTCTTAGCTTTTTATAAATGGTTGGATTACTCATGATATATATTATATGTACTATACAGGCATATGCTTTATTGCACTACAAAATATTACATTTTTTCCAAGTTGAAGGTTTAACTTGAATAAGTCTATTGACACCATTTTTCCAGCAACAGGTACTCATTTCCTGTGTCCGTGTCATGCAATATTCTGTAATATTTCAAATGTTATTATAATTTCTGTTACGGTGATGTGTGATCTTTGATGTTAATATTTTAACTGTTTTGTGGTGTCATGAACCATGCCTATGTAAGATGCAAACTTAATCAATAAATGTGTGTGTTCTGACTGCTCTACCGACCAGCCATTTCCCCCATCTGCTTCCCTCTCCTTGGACCTCCCTATTCCCTGAGCCACGACAATATTGAAATTAGGCCAATGACTAACCCTAGTAGAATGGCCTCTAAGTGTTCAAGTGAAAGAAAAAGTCACACGTCTCTCGCCTTAAATCAAAAGCTAGGAATGATTAAGCTTAGTGAGGAAGGCATGCTGAAAGCTGAGACACGATGAAAACCAGGCCTCTTGTGCCAAACAGTTAGTCAAGTTGTGAATGCAAAGGAAAAGTTCTTGAGGAAAATTAAAAGTGCTACTCCAGTGAACACATGAATAATAAGAAAACAAAACATCCTTATTGCTGATTATGGAGAAAGTTGTAGTAGCCTGGATAGAAGATCAAATCAGCCACGACATTCTCTTAAGCCAAAGCCTAATCCAAAGCAAGGCCCTCATTATCTTCAATTCTATGAAGGCTAAGAGAGGTGACAGAGCTGGAGAAGAAATGTCTGAAGCTAGCAGAGGTTGGTTTATAAGGTTTCAGAAAAGAAGCTGTCTTCAAAGCAGAAAAGTGCAAGGTGAAGCAGCAAGTGCTGACGTAGAAGCTGCAGCAGATTATCCAGAAGATATAGCTAAGAGAAGGGATGAAGCTGGCTCCACTAAGCAACAGATTTTCAATGTAGGCCCCACAGACTTTTATTGGAAGAAGATTCCATCTAGGACTTTCACAGCTAAGGGGAAGTTAATAACTGGCTTCAAAGCTCCGAAGGACAGGCTGACACTCTTGGTACAGACTAATGCAGCTGGTGACTTTATGTTGACAGCAGTGCTTTTCCCATTCAAAAAATCCTTTAAAATTATGCTAATTGTACTCTGTGCTCTATAAATGGAACAACAAAGCCTGGATGATAGCACATCTGTTTACAGCATGGTTTACTAAATATTTGAAGCTCACTGTTGGGACTTACAACTCAGATAAAAAAGATTCCTTTCAAAATGTTACTACTCATTGGCAATGAACTTCATCACCCTAGAGCTCTGATGAAGATATACAAGGAGATTAATGTTGTTTTCATGCCTGCTAACACAATATCCACTCTGTAGCCCATGGATCAAGGAGTAATTTCCATTTCAAGAGTTACTATTTAAGAAATACAGGTAATAAGGATTCAGTTGCCATAGATAGTGATTCTTCCGATGAATTCTTCTGACTTAGGCAAAGTAAAATAAAACACTTTTCGAAAGGAATCACCATTCTAGATGACATTAAGAACATCTGTGATTCATGGGAGGACGTCAAAATATCAACATTAGCAGGAGTGTCGAAGAAGTTGATTCCAACTCTCATGGATGACTTTGAGGGGTTTAAGACTGTGGTGAAGGAAGTAACTGCAGGTGTGGTACAAACACCAAGAGAACCAGAATTAGAAGTAGAGCCTGGAGAGGTGACTGATTCTCATGATAAAATCTCATGATAAAACTTGCAAAGATAAGGAGTTGCTTTTTATAGAGGAACAAAGAAAGTGGTTTCTTGAGGTGAAGACTACTTTTGATGAAGATGTTGCGAACACTGTTGAAATGACAACAAAGGATTTAGCATATTTCATAAACTTAGCTGATAAAGTAGTGGCAGGGTTTGAGAATATTGACTCTAATTTTGAAGGAAGTTCTACTGTGGGTAAAATGCTATCAAATAGCACTGCAACAGCACTGCATGCTGCAGATAAAACTTTTGTGAAAGGAAGAGTCAATCAATGTGGCAAACTTCATTGTTGTTTTACTTTAAGAAACTGACACAGCTACTCCCAATCCTCAGCAACCACCACCCTGATCAGTCAGCAGCCACCAACATCAAGGCAAACATCCTTCATTAGCAAAGAGATTATGAGTCACTGAAAGCTCAGATAATCATTAGCATTTTTTAGCAATAAATCATTTTTTAATTAAGATATGTACATTTTTTAGACATAATGCTATTGTATACTTAGTAAACTACAGTATAGTGTAAACATGACTTTTATGTGTACTGGGAAACCAAAAGATTTGTATGACTTTTATATTGCAATATTTGCTTTACTGAGGTGGTCTGGAACCAAACCCGCAACATCTCCAAGGTATTCCTGTATGTTAGATACCTGATAGATACAAAGATAATCAGATCTCATATTTCAAGAGCTCTCAGGTTGTTAGGGGAGATTACAGCAACACACACTAAGATGAGTGAGTGCTCAAACAATCAAACAAATGCCCATGAGTCCATTATCTGTTGTTAGTAGCGTGGCCAGAAGACAGTGGGGCTCTGGAGTCAGAAAAGCATTCAAATCTTGATTTACTACTTTACTACCATGACTATTTACAGGACACAACAAATTTTCATTTTACATTTACAGGACATCTACTCTAGGAAGGAAGCAGCCTTATATTCATTGTTCAGAATAAAAAAATAACAAAAACCCTGCTCCTAAAGAGCTCCCTCCTGGTAATATTATGGAGTCAGTAGACTGAACTACATGTTCTTAAGAGAGGTAGGGCACAGCATTGAGGGATTTCAGAGGAAGAGTTGACTCACATCTCGGGAGATCACTGTTGCATCACAGAAATGAAGGAATTTGCAAGTGGCTTTGAAAGACAGGTAGTACCTGGGCATGTGGAGATGAAGGAAAGGGGACATAACATGAACAAAGGCAAAAGGATGAGGAGAGAGATGCTCATTCCAGTTAGGCTAGAATATAGGGAGAATGAGGCAGCTGATGGAAAGAGAAAAGGCTGGGTATAAACATGGAGAATATTGACTGAGTTTTTTTTTTTTTTCCTCTTTTAAACAGGCTGATATGGTTTGGTTCTGTGTCCCCACCCAAATCTCATCTCTAATTGTAATCCCCACGTGTCAAGGAAGGGACCTTGTGGGAGGTGACTGGATCATGGGGACAGTTTCCTCCATGCTATTCTTGTGACAGTAAGTGAGTTATCACAAGATCTGATGGTTTAGAAGTATGGCACATCCCCCCCTCACTCTCTTTCTCTCTCCTGCCACCATATAAGATGTGCCTTGCTCCCCCTTTGCCTTCCACCTTGATTATAAGTTTCCTGAGGCCTCCCTAGCCATGTAGAACCGTGAGTCAATTAAACCTCTTTTCTTTATAAATTACGCAGTCTCAGGTAGTTCTTTATAGCAATGTGAAAACGGACTAATACACAGGCCATGCAGAGCTGTTAAAGACTTCTGAATAGGAGGATGATTTGAACTCTTAACCTTGCTTAGAATAGAATGAATGGAGGACTTTGCAGGTGGGATAAACATGGTAATTAATGGCTTAGGTAAGAGATGAGGATGGGAAGGAGGGAGATGGATGTGAGAAGAATTAAGGCAATATAAACATCAGGACTAAGCAGACAACAAATGACTGGTTGATGGAACGTGGGTCCAACAAGACCTGGAGTGGCAGAGGATATTAGCTAGGTCCCAAGGGCTCTGGCAAAGGGACAAGTTTAGTAGGAAATTAATGAGTTCCATTTTAGAACCTTTGAAATGAAGGTTGAATGAGACCCGCAGGTGGAGAAGGTAGGGAGCAGTTAGAACAGAGGGTCTCAGACTTAACATGAGAGGTTAGCACTGGAAGTATTGGTGGCATCAGAAGAGGGCAAGTTGACTTCATATATCTGTAAAGAGAGAGAGAGAGTGCAAAGAGAACTGAGGACGAGAACCAAGTACATGTAAGGGGAGCAGGAGAAACATGGCAAAAACAAGGTAAAGGGAAGGCATGATCAGAGAGGCTGGAGGAGAGCCTGAAACACATAGCAAGACCAAAACCAAGGGAAGAGAATTTCCCCAGGAGGAAGGTCAGCAGTTTTAAATGCCACAGACAAAAAAAGAAGGATGAGGCAAGAGCAGAGGCCGTGACCTTGTTTGTCTGAAGTCACTGATGATCCTTGTGAAAGCTATTTCATTATAGTCATAGGGATCAAGGTCATGCTGCAAGGAATTCCAGAGAGAGGGAGGGGGAGCCAAGGAGGCAGCAGGTGTAAACAGCAAGAAGGAATGACTCCTTCCCAGAGAAAATGCCACTGCAGTTAGCCCGTATTAGATCACTTCATGAAAGTGGTTTCAATAAAATGCTGAAGGCAGAACACTGAGTCTAGCAGTTTACGAAAAGCAAAGAGTGAGTGGTGAGAAAGTAGAAGTTGGGATTATTGGTTTTTTCCTTCCAAGAGATTTGGAAGATAAGATCGCAGAAGGTCACATCCAAGAATGGTTTTAATATTTCAAACACAGAGCACTTTCCTGGGGTTCATGTATAACCTTTTTAAGATTTGCCTGGGGAAAAACAGTACATCTAAGAACTGAGGCTTAGGGAAGCAGTGGCACAGTAAACAGACTTTGGAGTCAGGCTGATGTGCCCCCTAACCTCAACTCTGCTGGATTTAACTATGACCCAGGGCACACCACTTAACTTGCTTAAGCCTATTTTCCTCCTTCCTAAACAGCAAGGAGCTAGTCATGGAGGTTCCTGTCTCATGGGATTGTTGTATGGCTTAAATAAAATGAAACAATGTTTACAAAGTACTCAATCAGTAGATATGCAATAAGTGATAGTTATCATTAATTAAAAATGATCATCGATTAATGTCAGTAATAATTATAGTAATGATGTCTAACACTGGGACTCATCAATGCATTCCACTAGCCCATTAGAGTATCAAGTGCTAAGGAGTTTCTTATTTGGGTGGTTCCAACCAAGCCCTGAAGTTCAGATAAATTTATATCAACAAGGCTCCAGATTAAGCACCACCTTCCAAACACTGAACTGTCTTAGGCTTCCAAGAAAGCTCATGATGTAAGGAAACTTCATTCAGCTTGAGGCTAGATGTGAAATTTTTTCCTTTTTTACTTAAACCCATTCTATGGTTGATTAAAAAGGATCATAAATTGAAAACAAATTTGCTTCTACTATAGTATTTTAATAATAGCTACTATTTCTACAGTAATTTAGAATATGAAAGTACTTCCATTGTGTTATCTCATTTGATCCTTGAAATAACCCCATAAAGTCGGCATCATTATTTTGCATATTAGAAACTCCAAGGCTCAGAGAGGGTAAATGCTTTAACTAAGGACATGCATGTGTGATAGGGAGCTAGACAGGACCTCTACCTAAGGCTGTACATTTCATTAACAACAATGTGAATGGTACTTCCTGGACTTGAGCCTGCAGCAGCTTTCAAGCCAAATCTCAAACTCATGGTTCCAGCATCTCCCGTGTGATCTGTACACCATTAAGTAAAGATGATCTATACGGAGAAGTGGGTTCAAAAAGATCATTTGCCCCTAATGTTCACTAGCTCCAGTTGGGTGAAAACAATCCCTCCTGGTATGTGCTCAATCAAAATGAGCCCAGCAATACACCGAAAGAGTCACACTTGATGCCGCTACAGCACCGCGACTCCAAAATTCCACTGGAAAAAAAAAAAAAAACACAACACTGTTATGACTTGGAGAAGAGGTTCCATGGAACATCTGGATGCTTCCCCAGGGTGAGAGTGCCGGATTGGGGCTGAGGCAAGCAAGAAGGCCTGGGGTGGAACTTGGACAGGCTTATGGTACCCTCAAATGTTGCAGATCCGTTGCTGTCAACAACCCTCCTTCCCCTTTTGGATACAGGAAGCCCAGGAGCACAGTGAAAGCTGCTCTGCCTGGGCTAGTGCTGTGCGGCTGGGCTGCTCTCAGTACTTTATTAACAGTGGCTTTATATGGCCAGTCCCAGTAGAGTCACCTCTGTTCATTGGGATTATGATAATTAATATAAAAACAACCACCAACGTGTGCAGCACAGTATAGTTTTGAAAGCTTCTTTCTTACCCTTGTTTTTTGCTTTCTCTCAATTTGGAAAAAGATAATAAATAAATAAATAAATCTTAAACCTACACTTGCACAGAATTACTTCTCCGACCTCAAGTTCTCCAACTCTTATTCTGCTCTTGGCAACACATAGTGGATGATATCTATTTACTCAACGTTCTCTCCTAGGCATGCCGTGATTTAGAAAATACCCCAAAAAATCAGAAGAGAAAGAAGTACAGTGAAAAGTACTATGTACCTTTTTGTTAAGTTATAGGGGTAGAGGCACATAATAATGAAGCTATTCAAAAAGTAACTAAAAAGCTTTCATTTTAAAACAGAAAAAGCAAATCTTATCAATATTTTACTTAAACCTTGAACTTAAATTTTTTTTTTTTTGAGATGGAGTTTCACTCTGTTGCCCAGGCTGGAGTGCAGTGGTGTGATCTCGGCTCACTGCAACCTCTGTCTCCTGGGTTCAAGCAATTCTCCCACCTCAGCCTCCGGAGTGGCTGGAATTACAGGCGCTCGCCACCAAGCCTGGCTAATTTTTGTATTTTTAGTAGAGATGGGGTTTCACTATGTTGGCCAGGCTGGTCTTGAACTCCTGACTTCAGGCAATCCGCCTGCCTTGGCCTCCCAAAGTGCTGAGATTACAGGTGCGAGCCACCACGCCTGGCCTGAACTTAATTTTTTAAAGAGTTATTGTTTTCCAGACTTCCGTTATGGAGATAACATAGCTAAGATGCAACAGTATACTGTAACCATATTAGCAAAAATGATCTTATTTTATTGTCCACAGAACAACACACAGAACTGATCAATTTTAATGTGCTAATAGGGAACTGCACTTACACTTCACTGTCTGCCTGTGGTTTAGTTATGACAATTATTATGTTTCTTCTAATAGACATATTGATGGCATTACTCTTGCTTACATGCAAGGTAGATGTGAATTTCCTCATCTTTCCTTCTCTGTATCCCTAATTAAAAACTTACCCATGGGCAAAATTTTAAAATACTATAAAATCAGAGTAACAATAAAATCACAACTCACAAGGACAATAATTTGTGATTGCCACAGCTACTAACCACACAGCTGCTCACTCCATTTAGTTTGGGACAAGTAAGATAGACTGCAGCTATTTGCAACTTCTAGCACATTGGTTGTGGCTCTATTCCTGTCTCTTTCACTTAAGAAAATACCTTGAAATACTTAGGTGTAAACTGACATTACATAGGGATAAGTCTGACTCAGCTCAAATTTATTTTGAAAAGTAAATTTGATTTGTGATTAACAAAGATATCCTGGAAAACAGATTGGAAAAGATGGAGGTTAGAATCAGAAAGACTGGCTAACATCAGAGGAAGGGCAGGAGTGAAGGTTATTCAGGGTTGGAGTCTGGTAAGTTGGAAACCAGAGGACGAGGGGACGAGAGAAACCAGGATGCTGGAGAAAGCCCCTTTGAAACGGCTAACCCTCTGGTCAGGTCTAGGTTGGATGGGGAAGGAGATCCACCCACAGTGGTCAGAGTAAAGGCAAATTTGAGGTGCTGGAGACGGAGCTGTTATGGTGAATTTGGCCACAGGTGGGCAGCTGGAGGACAGTCAGGAAGGAGACAAATTTCCCTAGCTTAGGCGACTGAAGTGTCTGTTGAGTTATTACCATTGAGTCTAGTCTATTGTAATTCCAGAGCATGAAGATTACATTTGGATTGGAAAGCAAGGCTGTGAGCCAGTCACTGAGTTCATAGAGGAAGACAAAAGAATACTCCAAAAGAGAGGAAGAAAATAAGCAGGAAGCAGGCATTTGAAAAAGGATCATTAAACAAAGGAAGTAGAAGTACTCTGAAGAGGTGGCAGAAAGTAAGGAAGGTACCCACTTGTCTCCGTGGCTGCTTGGAAAAAAAGGAATTAGTTGCTTCATTTGCAGAAAGTTGAAAGGGCTATGGTGTTGCCACTGGGGTGGGAGGAAGGGAGAAGTTAGTTAACTCAAGGACAAGGGAATGATGCATGAAAAGTGCAGTAACATGGGATGGCACATCTTGCTATACACACAGCCAGATTCCATTGGCTTTTTCCAGATTCCCAGGCTTGTTCACACATAAATTGTTCTCTTGGCTTTCCTTGTGTGCGGTTGCTTTTGCTGTCCTAATTCAAAACAATTTAAGAAATATCTATTGAATGGCCTACCCAGTGCTAGGGCTCTAGAAATGAATAGGAAATGGTCCCTGACCTCGGAGAGCACACAGTTTAGCTGGAGACACAGGTAAGGTAGCTAATAATTATAAGAATATTTGGCAAGTCCAGGAATGGAAATAAATGCCAAGGGTCATCAGCTACCCAACTTATTTTGTATTTATCCTTTCACAAAGTCTTATTTCTAGCCCATTACTCTGAACAGTCTAGGCAGTCTGTAATCTTGATTTTTGTCTTTTAAGAACTGTTCACCAATACTGTAAATGTATTAAGTCTCAAGTAAGTAGTGGGGAAACAGACTCTACTTGAGTAATTTTTGAGGAGGTGAGTGAGCCTTAAGATAAAATTAATGAATTTTTGATTGGCAAAATCTCAAAGGCCTTCTATAACTCTGAGAATCCCACCTTAAATATAATATACATATAATTTATTATACATAAAAATATATTTGAAACCTTTAAGTACTCAATATTTATTATTTGAAAAGGAATTATTTTTGCGATATGAATCCTTATATTTCAAAGCTATAGTAAGTCATGTGGTGATGGAACCTATATAGTGAGAGCAAAAACACATGAAAGAAAAATAGTTTGTGTAGTACGGTTCAGTTTTGAAGAAAAAAAAAAAACTAAACTAAATGACAACCTATGTTTGTATACTCATAGAACAAATATCTAGATGACTTCAACAAACTGTGAATAGAGATTATTCTGGGTAGGGAGAGGCTGGCATGATGGGTGACCCTTACATTTTATTATGTATTGCCATAAAGCTGTTCGTTAGTCACGAGTTGGTATTACTTTTGTCATCAGAAGGTAAAAATTCTATGCAGCCATCTCAAAAGAAGGTGACTACTACCCATGACTGATTTCATTGCACATTCCTTGTTGAAGACCTATTGATGCTAGCTGAATGCACTTATAGCTCAAATGTACCCTGGCACTTCCAGAGAGGAAGGAATCTTGCTGCTAGTCTTCCCCATTGAGTCTGTTTCTTAATAAATCCAAAGTCCTCTTCCCAGTGTTAAGTACTCCTGTCGTCTGGCTCTACCTCTCCTTCCTTCACTAATTACCCTTCCACTAACCTCACCACACATCCTTTGCTCCAGCCACACTGGATTTTTGCAGTCCCAGGATCCTTTCTCCTGTATCTCTGCTCATGTCTGATACTCCTTCCATCCACCTGCATACATCCACTCACCCTTCAAGTCCAGCTTGAGTACTGCCTCTTCCATGAAGCCCTACATGACTCAATTCCTTCTCCTATCCAAAGTTATAGCCATTCAAATGCAGATATACAATTTCTCACTTTATTCTATTCTGGTCTTTTAACTTAATATTATCTGTACATCTGTTAACTTAAGCTCCAAATATCAATAAGTAATAAACACTTGTCTTTCATTTCCTGTAGAAGATTCCAGAGCCCACAGACATATAAGCAGCCAAGGCTTCACCACTCTGGATCATTTCTTGGGTATGTGTTTTTGCTACTAGACCCCACTGAGGCACAAAGTTCAAGGGCACAGGCTCTGGAATTGGACAAACCTGTGAATGAAACAGCTCTACCACGTACATGCTTTGTGATGTCTGACTCACCATTTCACTCCTCGTGCCCTTCTCTTTCAAATGAGATTAATCATTTATACCTCCAATGCATTAGACATATTAAAGCAGATGACATATTTAAGGCAATTGGTAGAATTTTAAAAAATAAGAATTATTTTTCATCACTTGGGAATTGAACAAAGAGACATGCAGAACCGTTATGTAAACCAGAATGGATGACTTTCAAACTGGCCAAAGGGGAAAAAAATAACTAGCAGTGCTAAAAATCAACACATAGGTTAAGAGTTTAGAAGGTCCTGCATCTCTTCGATGTGGCTATCATAGCAGCTCTGGTGGAGGACTCACAGTGCATCAAAATAAAAGATGACATAAGAGAGTGAGTGACCTGTGCGAGTCATCTAAGAATGTTTTGTGTCCCCATGGAAGCTGAAGAACCTAGCCTTGGAATGACTTCTCCACAAGCAGTGTGCTGGGAAATGAAACTTTAGCTGGGCCCTAAATTCTCAGCCAAACACTTCCTTTGGGTTGAACTTGACGACTCGGAAACTGTTTGCAAAGTGGAAGAGCCCCAATGGCAGGAACATATCATTTCCTGAGCCTAAACAGAAACGGACTGAATCCAGCAGAGAGCAAGCAGATTCTCCCAGCTGTATACTTGCCCCTCATGTCACTTTTGGCCATTTGCTATTTCACCATTTTTGTTTAATCACCACCACTGGGATTTTTCTGTTGGTTGTTATTTACGGTTAACAAAACATGTTAACAAAAATATGTGTACAACATTTGGACATGCTTTCCTGGGACATACAATCAGAATGTATGTAATTTATTTTTTCAAAAAAATAATTGTAGCTAAAAAGTTATTTCTGGCATCTTATTCTCACCTCCCACTTTTATTTTATTTTATTTTTATATTTTTGTAGAGATGGGATCTTGCTATGTTGCCCACGCTGGTCTTGAACTCCTGGCCTCAAGAGATCCTCTTGCCTCAGCCTCCCAAAGTGTTGGGATTACAGGCACGAGCCACAACACCGGGGCTCTTCACACTTTTAAAAAAATTATTTTTTTACATACCCATCTTTCCGAGGACATACCCTCGACTCTAGCAAGGCTGTTGCAGGATTTCTACCTCTAAATCATGGCTCACTCTTGTGACTTCTCCCAACTCAAATACCCTTCCTTCTGCCTATGTAAAATCCTCTCACACAGAACAGAAAGACTGGAGAGACCTATGAGTCATAAGAAGTCTCAAGACAGTTTGAGGGATTTTTATCTCAAGTAAAATTGGGCTAAAATACTAGCTTCAGCTCCAGGGACAGAAAATTTGAAGTGGGCAATGAGAAGACAAGGAAAAATTCTTTCTTTTAAAAAATAACTGAGATTAATTGCTTTAGATGATTCAGCTAATGACTGACATATTTTTCTGCTAAAGAATAAAGTAGATTTCTTCTCTTTTAGATACTTTCCACAAATGAGGTCTGGAAGACTTGAAGTAATCTCCAAGCAGTTCACCCAGAGATTTGAAAGTCAGATGTGGAATTATGAAGCAAACTCCAGTGTTGCTGGGAACTAGTTCTGAATAAGTTTAGTAGTATATGGTTACATTTCTGATGAACAATGTTTTTGTTGGCATGGGAACAGGGAGATGAATTAGTTGACTAAGTTCCCAGGACATGGAAAGCCTATACTTGAAATGTTTTCATCTCTGGCACAAAGGATGATAGCAGCCACAAAACTATGGCTAATTCAAAGTCACAGAAATCCCAGGCAGGTTGGTATCTTGGGAAGCGTGTATCACGTGACCTTTGAGTTCAGAGTGGTGATAATATTGGAGGGTTGCTCTTTGCCACTGAGGCAGAGTCTTAACATTTAATCCCTGTAGATTTCCAGGTAATAACAGAAGATTCGGGGTCTTCAATGCCACTTTGCTCCACTGAAGTTGCAGACCTCTTAAGTCTTTACAGTAGAAATATAGAAACATAGTAAGTGTTAAAATGAACTTTAGGCCACATTTTGATGGAGAAATTCTGATGTCAAAAAGAGAAGGTTAGTTAGTATCTGGTCAGATAATTTTGAGACCAGCAGAACCTATTAAAAATTATAGTCAAGCCATTAAAATTATGTCTTACATCGCATGTGCTATAAACGATGTAAATTTTTGTATTTTACAATTAATTATTCACTTGGGAGTCTCCATTTCATGATTGTCGTTTTTAAAGAAACCACCTCATTTTTTCTTTTAATCTGATTGCAATTGGAACCTGTGTGGAAGGGCTGATGCCCTAGCAACTAACTGGATCCTCTTAAAGGCTGAATTTTATGTCTGACCTATTTAGATATCTGAAAAGCTTCTCTTCAAAAATAAAGCATCCCAGATCTTAATTTTTTAGTTGTCAAGCATTGCTGCAGCCAAGGTTAAATGAGTTGATAGACTCAACATAATTCTTAGAGAAGGGTTTCCTTTTAAGCTTAAATGTAATTCATGCACAAATATTTTTAAAACTTCATCTGATACCTTACATTTCATATATGAATCTAATAATATATTTAGGTCAAGTTACATTTTTAAGTGACATCTAGGAGTATTCCATATGTTAAATATAAAGGCTCAGAATGACATTTATTAAAGACTGGATTAATCTCATGGGTATTGCTGTAATTATTCCCCCCAATCATCTCATCTATGGCATGGGTTAGTGAAGTATCATTCATGGGCCTTTCCTTTGTTTTTGTACATAAAGTTTTATTGGAACACAGCCATGTCGTTTGTTTACATATTGTCTATGGCTACTTTCACGTTACAATGGCAGAATTAAGTAGTTGTGACAGAGACTGCATAACCTACAGTGCTGAAAATATTTTCTGTCTGGCCCTTTTTATAGAAAAAAATTGCCAATAAGCCGGCACAGAAAGACAAATACTGTACATTCTTATGTCCTATGTAGAAGCTAGAAAAGTTGATCTCATAGAAGTAGCAAGTAGAATAGTGATTACTAGAGACTGGGAAGGGCATTAGGGTGGTAAATAGATACACAATTATAGCTGGATAGGAGAAACAAGTTCTAGAATTTTACAGCATCTTAAGATAACTAGAATAAACAACAACTGATTGTATATTTACTAACAGTTTAAAGAGCAGACTTTGAATGTTTCCAACACAAAGAAATGATAAATGTTTGAGGTGATGGAAATGCTAGTGACCCTAATTTAATCATTACACATCATATGCATGTATCAAATTATCACACTGTATGCTACAAATGTGTAATTATTATGTGTCAATTTAAATTTTTTTAAAGGAAAAAGTTTGCCAATCTCTAATGTTTAGAAAAACTGAGTCTCACCAAATGAGTCTCTTCTTCTAACCAATATATTGTTTTAAAAGTCTGATGGGAAAAGTTTTCAGGTAGAATAGAAAGCTCTACTCATTGACAAGTTTTGTTGGTCAGTTTATCGCTATATCATCTTTGAATCTGAATTTAACTGCAACCAAACACTGTATATTGACAGAGACACAGAGAACAAATTAGCCCACTCTAAGATCAATAATTGTGCGCACTTGCTCCAAGAAGCAACTCTGCTAACAGCTGACCATACTAGAAATGTTCATTTCTCCAGCTCCATCATACTTTCTATATCATTCTGAGGGACAGAAGGGTTTATACCCTGTCTCAACCTTCAGCTTCCCACCTATACAGGAGGTCTCATCATGCAGGGAACAATGACAATATTTAAAACGCTCTTTGTCAAGGAAGATTTTTTTATCTTGGCAGAGTAATTGTGTCAGAGAATTAATGTTAGAGCATTCCCTAAGGTTTCATCTTCAGATTGTCTTTTGATCTGCCTCTTAAATGGAAATGAAATAAACTCAGCCTGTGTAATTTGGTTAGTGGAGTTAAAATGTATTTGAGGACCCAGTACAATTAACAGAACTGAAAACTGATGCCTCCAAGATACCACTGGTCCATGAAAAGAATAAGTATTTAATAAGTACTTACCTAACTGTCCATATTGGAAAATTAGGGGACAGAAAAAAATAGCATATCTGCAAGTACTAATACAGCACCAGGAAGAGTAATAAGAGTAGTTTGGGGCCAGTGAAAATCAATCCTTAAAGGAAGTGAAAGTCATGGACTAGTAGAGAGAAGCAGACAGGAAAGAAATCCACCTAACCTCCCAGCAGAGCTTACTGAAAGTGAGTAGAAGTACAAAGGAAGACATTAAATGCTTAGGGTAGTAAGTAGAGAGATGGTAGGAATGTCAGTATTTGCTAGTGAAGCCACTGTGCAATGGAGAAAGCATGACTAAATGGTGAACTTTGGATGCAATGCTGAAGACTTTGATATGACAGACAATAAGTACATGTGGTTCCTTGATGAGAAATGTCTTGATAAAAATAGTGTTTGTCAAATATTATTCTAGAGTTTAGAGCAGAAAAACCAATTGAAATTTATTTAAAAATCGGTACAAAAGGAAATTGCCAAGCTCCTTGCAACATTTTTCTATTAATTCACAATATCACAGACTTCTCTTTTGGGAGGACTATATCAAGTTCTATATTATAAATGGAGGGGTATCACAACCAAGTGTTCTTTCTGTTTTCTCTGGGTTGCTAACTAAGGCACCAGCAAACACACACACACACACACACACACACACACACACGCGCGCGCAAAACAAAACTATGTTACCATCATTCACCTTATTCATTTTGCACCTGGTCTGATTTTTGTTTTTGTCCTAAATGCATCATAGTAACTATTTTCTAAAGCAGGCAATTCCATAGCATAACTGCATAGATAGATGAAACAAAATAACTTATTAGTCCCCGGGAGAAACTAGAGGGAGGAAAAAGATGGAATGTCACCACTGGCTTGACTTCTTATAAAACACATAGTTGAATTTTAAGTTACGTATCCATTGCCCATGTCCTGTGTAGCTTCTCAGACCTAAAACAAATCTCATAGCTAAACTACGCTGTCCTAGTTTCTTTGTTATTTTACAGCTGTGCCTATATGTGTATTTTTCTGTACTGAAAGCAGAGACTTGGAAATAGCCGGATAAAAGCTAGTCCTGTGTTGTATATGGCAGGAGAAGGAACACAGTAAACACAAACACAGCAGAGCATTTCCCTTTGTTGACAACCTTATTGTTTCCTCTTAATGCATTGTTTAGAATAGCAATTACATGTCATTGCCCATTATCTTATACACAAAACCAATACCATAGAGCCGTTGCTTTTCTTTCCAACAACTGATCATCATGAATATATAGAGGATTCGTGTGCTGGTGAAACATGTCAACACTGACAGCTCAGAGCCCAAGAGCAGGGCTGAAGCACAGAACAGGTGTGTGGCCAGGCAGCTGGAGTGAAATCTCCCCTCTACCTTCTCATTTTTGCTTTCTCCACTTTCCTCCCTCCTCTGGGTTGGGAGGGAGAGCAGCTTAGAAAGAACCTCCCTTTTCAGGCTGTTTCCCTCTGCCAGAGAAGACTGGCTCACTCTCAAGACGGCAAGCATTTGACCACTGCAAATAACAGGAGCATGTCAACTTGTTTTATTCACATCCCTCACTACGGAATCAGAAAGCCAAAGACACACTGGTGATTTCCCTGGTTTTATGGATCTTGACTCCCCCCAGGCCTGCAACACATTTTTGGTTGGTGTGTTCACATTGTCCTGGCATCTGCAGTGTGGGAAACCTTAACTGTGAGCCAATAGCCCCACAGCTTCTCTCTATTAAAATGTGCAATTGGATTTCACATGAGTGTTTCAAACACCATTCAAGGCCTAATTTACAGGCTACTATCTAGCCCCACAGCTGTTTTTCCATCCTGTAGACTTAGCTGTTTCTAGGAATCCACCATCCGGCTCCTTAGCAAAGTCTTCCCACTTTGGGCCTGCCCAGCCACTCTTGGCCATGCAAAACTATACAAAATCTATAGTAAGGATTCAAGAAAATACTTACTGAATGAACAATTATTAACTACTCTTTCCACAGAATTATTCATTCATGTGAATAGCCTTCTTTTTGTTTACCTCATCTAATCAGCTTTTATGTCATCAAATTAATCACTGCTGATCCATTGATATAGGTCATTTATATACATTAAAAACAGTACAGGCCCAATGACTTTTGTGTACGGATCACTAAATAGTTACCACACAGAGCTTTCAGTTACTGTGTTCTTTCATAAGGATAAAAGTAAGAATCCCTTTTATATATTGCAAATTATTTCCCTGTGGCTAAACAAAAACAGAATATCTATGTTATAGAGAGAGCTACTCAACGTCACTTTGTCATATTTCTGTGACACCCACTCCTCCCCACAGTCCATCCTCCAAGAATCTGAAATCACTCCACAAATAGATTAGGCCTGAGGCTTAGGGTTATGGTTAGCTCAAATGTAAGCGCTAATAGTATCATCTAAACAGTTGATTTTAAGTTGTCGGAGGGCCAGAAAAATACTATACTCATTTCTGATTCTTCCGTGCATAGTACAGCCCTCAGAAGAGAGTACAGGCTCAAGAGTATAACTGAACTCAACTCTTCTCAGTCTATGCAGAGGATGATGATACATGCAGTGGGTGGGTTTAAAGGATTCCCTTGACCTCTGACTGAGACCCACCTTTCAAGGAAGACAGACAAAGGAAAAAGAAGGTATGACATTGAGAAAAATGTCCCAGCAAAAGCCTTTGCTAGCAATGGCACTGAGATGAATCTGTTTCATCCAAACAGCTCCACAAATGTAGCTTCCATGTCAGATGAAAACAATTAATTAAAAATCACATTAATACAGATCCTACAATTTGAGTCAAGTTAGATTTTGCCCTTCTGGTTGCAATATACCAACCTTTCCTGGTGAATAGAAGATTTCAGGTGAAAAGGGGACATTTTCTTTACCCTTCCACAGGTACTCTCACCCAGCCCTAGATGTGTGACTCTGAATTTTCCCAGAAGAGAAAAAAAAAACACTACAGGCTTCCTTCCCCATTTTAAACTACTACACAGTAGCTAAGGAGATTGTGTGGTCACTTCATTACAAGTCGTAGCCATCATAACAAGCCTTCTTTGTTAAACAGAAGTCCTTTAAGGCCGGGACACCAGTAAGGAGCTATAGTGTTGAACACTATAAATGATTTGCAAAGGAAAGACCACCAAGCTTCAAAAATTTTTTAAAAAGCAGCTTTTCATCTTAGGACTTACCATTTCATTTCCTCCTACAGGTGTCTGCTCACAGACCTCATGAATAAAGATTACTCATTTACTCTTTTGGTAATCTGAGAATTAGACCATGTTGACAAGTTGGGCTGTCAGATCATCAGGTTATCTGAAGAGTCTCTTGTTTTAAACACACACATTAAAAATAACCAAAATTCGTACTTGTTATAAATGGTCCCAAAGGCCAGAATTGCAACCAAAGGATGAAAAGTACAGAAATAAAACGGCCTTTTATTAAATTCCTACTATGTGTCAGAGGCTGTATTAGGTATTTTACAGGTGCGTATCTTTTCTCATTAATCTCTGAAGATAATCAGTTGAGGCAGATATCACTATACAATTTTACATACGGCTACAAGAAGCTAAGATTGCCCAGGGAAACGTGACCATCATCGAGAGAAGTGAGATTCAAACCCAAGCTTTTGTTCTGCTTTCTTTCCAGTCCACTAAGCTCCTCCCAAGAATGTAACAGTAGATCTTGGGAGACAGTCATTCCTTGACCTGGGAAGTACTCAAGCTGATGGTAGCTAACTGGCTCCCGCAGAAGGGATTCAAGAATTAGAAGGGGTTGGAAGAGAGCAGGTCTACCTCGAAGAATCTGCAGACTTCCTCTCCTTCTCTTCTAAGCAGCTGATTCTGCAATCATTTGAGGTGAGATGAGAAATCAAGCAGGTCTGCTTCCTGGTCTTATAAAAACAATAAACTATCCCTTTGCTTACTATGCCATATCTGCAGGCCCTAAGGTCTGGACTCTTTCTCTCCCCTACAGCTTTGGTCACATTGCTAGCGAGGAGACCCTCTCCCTGGCTTCCTGTATTTCTTCTGAAACTCCAAAACTAAACAGTAAAACTCTCCTCCCAACTCATGCCTCCTTAGCATCCTTTAGCTGTAAGAAATCCCTATGTCACCCCTAAGGTATCACGTGGCTCAGTCAGACACACTTCCCCACTCATTCACCCTTTGCACTCCTACTCTGAATTTTGTGTCATTAATGTACATACCTGTCTCCCCAAACATTTCGCAGCACATATTTTTAGAACAAGACAGGATATAAATAAAAACAAACAAATTGGCCTGGTACTGTATTCGCTTTCTTGCTTGAAACCACAGTGGAACGATCCAAAACTAATCCATCCCACTTGACAGGCTCTTTCCACTAGCAACACTCCCATGAGCACTGAATTCCATTTTCATCATGGCGTCACACAGATGCTCAACAAGTTCATTTCCCCTTCCCACTCCAACTTCCACACCATTTCAACTTTTTCATATTTCTTCCTTCACTTGAACCATCATGTTTTCACATAAGATTTTCCTCTAAAAAAAATGATTGGCAATGAATCCCAGCCCACCTCAACCCTGAGTGGTTAATTCCAGCTTGGAAGCCCATTTTTACCATTGGAGTCTTCCACTTCTTCAGCCGGGGTAGCTTTTTGGGAGGAGTGGTGGGAGTGTGAGGAGAGGAGACTGACGATCCGTGGCCTGGGGAGGGTCAGGGCTTTTCCGTGGACCTTGAGGGAGTGTTCCTTCAGCTGGCTGATTGTCATGGTGGAGAATGAGCACCAAGAACACTTGTAGGCATGCTCACCTGGAAGAGGATGGTGACAAGAAATAGAACAGGAAAAAGAGGGGAGAAGGGTATAAGGCCAGGGTGGAAACAAGATAACTCAGTTAACTCATGCTAGAGAAGCGCATCTCAAGCTTCATGTTCTATGAACGAACCTCACAGACCAACAACCTGCCACAACCACAGTACTCCTTTGGAGTTGAAACTCTTCCATGAGCTCCAGAATCTAGTGAACTGGTCCTTTTTCATTTTGGGCTCTGCTTACAGGAGTGAAGCTATGAATTAATTCCCCAATAGGAAGTCAAACCCAACTGCCCATGATACCTCCTTTAGAAAAATTTCCAATCCCTTTCCCTCCCTCTCTACACTAGAAATGACCATGTCAGGTTTCATTCAAGGTGGCCTTTTTGTCAGTCCCAGAAAATAACATGCTTAATTATTATTCCAAAGATCTATTAGTGGCTTTTTAATCACAAAGTCATTCAGTGCAAGCTCTGTTGTGCTATTCTATTCTGTACTTCCTTGCTAACTATACACATTCTCATCCCACATATATATATTTTTGGACCAGTTCATAAACCTCAGCATAGAACTCCATTTCCTTATCTAGTCAATAGCACAGAAATGGGTAAAAATAAGTCATTTCTCTAAGGAAGAGAGCTGTATATGTAAACATGGGGGTTTAGGGGGTACAGTGTGTGTGTTTATCTCCAATATTCTTCAATAAAGACTGCCTCTCAGTAAAAATAAGCACTACTTTTAAAATTAATTTTATGCCACTGAAATACAACACAGATCACCATGACCAAATTAAGTTAAAGTGTGATTTACCTTCGCCATATATTACCTGTTAAATTAATTACATTTTAAGAACTAAGAGTGTGAAGTGGGCAGGCTTAAATTGTTGGACATATATACACTGGTAAGATCAATTCAGAAAGCCATTTTGCTTTTAAGAACAATAGACTTAGAAATGCTCATGTTTCCAACCCAGTAACTCCATTTCAAAGAGTAATAAGAAGATATCCTTTAATAAATATAAAGTTTTACTTAGAAATATACATCATTTATGCTTGAAAAAGGTATGAAATAACCTAAATTTACAACCATAAGGAAAAGATTAAGTAAATCTGGGCATATCCTATTGATGATTTATTTTATTCAATTAAAATAAATTCTTGGAGTTTATAATAACATAAAAATAAAAGTAAATACAAAGGCTAAATATATATATTCAATTGCATTAGAATTACAACTATTAAAAATAATTACAGAGAAAATGACTGAAAGGAAATATATGAAATGTTAACAACAGTGGCGTTTAGATAACAAGATTATGAATGACTGTATTTCTTCTTTCATTTCCAAACTTTCTCTAATGAACATGTATTTTTAAAATTAATTTTTAAGGTGACATTTAAAACTCAGAGAAGAAAAAAGAGAAAACAGAATCATAAAGTTTTGTGGACCAGTGAAAATGAACAGAGGTGTGGTCTAAGGATTAAAAGTAAGAAAAACAGGTATTGGAAGATCATTCTTTGTCCCTACATTTCCGAGATTATTATTTTCCTGCCACCATGAAAATTACTAAATGGGTTCACATGTGAAGTGAGTATAGCATCCAAGTTCTGTAATTAAGCCTTCCTCTCACCACGGATGAATATATATATGACAATATATAGAATACTACTGCCCTCTTTATTCTATTTTTTCATTTTTTTCTTTTAATGCAAGCTTGGTTGTGTGAATATTGCTGGTGGCTGTGAGTTGCACGACCTGAGAGAGAATTCAAATCCAGATGTTTGGGTTAGCACACATTACCTTTTCTTCTTTAAAATAAAATAAAATAATCTATCTAGAAAAGACAAGATGAGTCAAGAGTCTTTCAGAAAAGGTACTGGCTTTTTCCAAGCCAAGCCCCACTCAGTCACTCAAAGCAATGTCATGGAGGCCAAGGTTCCAAGGTATGTCAAGAACTGAATTACACTGCTCCCAATCTCTCTTACTGGATGCTCTCTTCCTGCCAGCCAGTGAGTACAGGGAGGCCAGTTTTTTGGGTCAGTTCCAAGAGCAGACACTTCAGCTTAATACGCTGGCATCAGTGTGCAGGCTCTGATGCTCTCTTCAAGTCTTTCCCACAGGCCGAATCATCTCTTCCCAGCTCTCGCTGGTAAAAGTGCTTTTGACAAGGCTAAGGCCTATGGGCAAAACTCACCAGGATAGTGTCCCAGCTGGATAATTTACAATATACACAAGTTAGAAAACAGTGATTTGAACCCTGAAGCCACTCACTTCAAGGACTTTAGTAGAAATTTCCCAGAGACAGAAAAATACAAAAAGATAGAGAAAAGCCCCTATAGCTAACTTCCCTGTCCCATTCCTTACTCCTAGTGGAGTTTGAGGCAACTGGGAGACCTGGGTAATCTTACTGCATTAAGTCAGTTCAACAAAATCCAACACTCAGAAGACAATGAAGAGACATGGTCCTGTTTACACAGAGCATGAGGAGCTGGCGAAAGTGAAGGACCCAGGTTCTGAGCAGTTCTTACAACACTGTTCAAACTGTGACCAAGGGTTATACAAGGCACAAGGAATGTGACACAATGCCTCCCCTTTAGGACGATTATAGGACTAAAGAAGATGATGCATATAACACGCCTAGTGCACAGCCTGGTGGGTAAGGGTCATGACACATCAGACGTCAACAACAGTGGTCTTCAGATAAGATTATAGATGACTGACTGTATTTCTTCTTTCATTTCCAATTTTTTCTAATGAGTAATGAGATGGAACAACAATATGATAGAGACCAGCACAGCTGCTGGACACTCACAACCCAAAGTCATTTCTGTCTTATGTACGGAAACATATCTAAGGGTATCTCTTGAAAAATCTCACACATCTTGAGTTCCCTTTGCCCTTTCTAACTTCCTTAAGTTGGTAACTTTATTTTAGCTGGAAAGTCTTTTTAATAGATATAACAATTCTTGGCAATTGAATTAGAAAGTATAGGCAGTTTAGAAATTTCTGTAAAAATCACCAACAGTCTAATTCTAACTTGTCAGTAGGACGAACGAACTAACCATAACATGGGTGACATAGGCTTTGTATTATTTTGGATTTAGGTGATTTTGTTTAACTTTTACTTTTTTCTTTATTTTTTCTTTACTAGGTAAAAATAAAACTGAATATACATCCATCCCAAGAATAACATTCTCAAGTGTAAGGCAGGACAGTATTTCACTCAATAAAGATCATCAGGTTTCAAACTCAGAGAGTGCTAAAGAACTTGTGCATCATCAATGCACAACTCACCAGCATGAGCTTTGAGTATATGTGTTTTCAGCCGGCTGTTATAGGAGGACTTGAAGGAGCAGAGTTTGCATCGGAATGGTTTATGGTGTCCGTGGTGGGTTTGCATATGGCGATCCAAACTTGATGTAGAAGGAAAACAAAAAGAAAAATGACAAAATTAAAAATTGCATAGAGGATTTGCTCATTGCTTTTTTTCCAGGAATCCTACTTCTAGGTCGTTCAAAGTCCTTTTGTTTACTTTCCAATAATGGCATTTATCAATTTAATTAATTAATTTTCAAGAGTTGTACCTACTCTAAGAGGACAGGAAGCTAAAGGAAGAGATCAAGAGTTTTTTTTGGATTTAGAGATATGGCAGTGGTAACAGGTCATGGTAAGAATCTTTATTGTCCCTTCTTAGAGCTCTGATCATTGGAAGAGTGTATCTAAAGAGAAGGTACAATATGGGTGAATTCAAGCTTCCTGCCAAGCCAGTGAGAGTGCCTATCAATTAGTCCTCTAACTTATTCAAATAACAGAATGGGAATTAGAGAAATTTAGCATTTGAAAAGAGCTGACTTTCTTTTTGAATTCTAATTCTACTTTCATTGTGAACACTAGAGTGAGGAAGGGAGGTTTCGAAGTGGCTGACCTTCTTGCAATGGGCTGTCTTGTTGCCAGGGTCTATATTAATATGGAGGCACAGTGCATGCATGTTTAAAGGAGCCACGTGGTCAAAAGGCCGCACATCCCTTCTGATACACACAACCATGTTTGCTGTAAGTCTTCCAGAAGCAATTTACAAGGGAGTTATTTAATTACAACGAACCCCTAGTACTTCATAATAATTATTAGCCTAAAAAAATAATAAATCTACCAAACAAGGTGTGGGAAGTTCTAATTTGTATCAGCACTCCAGAGAACTAAATTCCCTTCTAAATGCCTCATGTGGGAACGGTACTGCTTACCATTTCAACATATAATGCTGTCCTGAGCTCCAAAGCAACATTTTCAATTGCCCCTGGACAGCTCCCTCTGGGTGTCCTTTAGTTCTCTTTAACTCAACCTGTTCTAAACAAACCCATCAGAGAGTTTTCTACAAAACAAATTCTCTTCTTCATTTCCTTGTTTCTATAAATGGCACTAACCTTTCTTCCAGATGAGTAAACTGAAAACCTAGTTGCCATTTGTATTTTACTTTGTCCCTCATCCCACGCATGAAGTCAATTTTTCCAAGTCAGGCAAATCCATTCCTTCAATCATTCCCTAACTTCTTGAACTAGCTACTATTATTGCTTCTTAATTCCTTGTCCCCCAGCCCCCATGGATTTTTTTTTTTTTTTTTTCATCTCAAGAGCACACGCTATGGAGTCAGACTACCTGGGATAAAATCTCAGCCATTACATATAGGCTGTGTGTCCTTGGGCAAATTACTTAATTTTTCTAGGCTTTACTCTTCTTATTCATAAGATGATAATAATGGGGCCATACCTTATAGGAGAGTTTTGAGAATGAAATTAAGTAATATTTAAAGGCCCTTAGTACAGTGCCTGGTATATAGTGAGATGCAATAAATGTTAGCAATTATAATTATTTTGCTAATTTGACTCTTCCTTTTACCAGCAATTTAAATTATGAAATACTATTTCCTGGCATTTAAAACTCCAAATATGGTCTCCTTTAAAGTATTTAGACCTTATCTTTCACTATTCCTTTACATGTAACTTAAGGATTAGTCAAACTGAACCCCCAGCTAGGGCCCCAGTCAGCTTCATGGTCTCCTCCCTCAGCTTTTCCTCTACATCATATGTCCTTTCCAAACTATTCAAGTCCTATTTTCCTACTTTAAGACTTCACCCAAATGCTCCTTATGCCATAAAACCTTCCTGACTCTTCCAAAGCTGATGTAACATTTCTCTTCTTTGACACATCATAGTATTTTACTGATATTTTCAAAGACGTGCTTTATTTTGATGAGTCAGTGGGTTTTGTTTTGTTTTTTTTTAATTTCATAAACCAACCCTTGACCCTAAATTCCCCTGGCCACAGACCATGGCCTGTGTCTTTATATTTCCCAAAAGTACAGTACCTAGGACAGGATATATTCATTTATTCACAATTATTTAAAGTTCCACTGTGCGTCAGACAATGTGATAGATGCTGTTCAATAAATACTTCTTGAATTGAAGTATTTCAAGTTTTATGCCAATGTATGGATCTGATGACAAAGATTAGATATTAGGCTCTGTATAATAATAAAGTGTTTACAACCCATCCTAACCTCTGTGAAAACACCACCTCCTTCTTCTGTTCAACAACCACTAACTGGCCCTTTATCTTTTGTAAGAAGCAAATAGTCCATCATTTATTTCATTAAAAAAATTGTTTTAAAAAGCATGTCAGTCTTAGTCACCTTTATCCAAGACTGTCCAAACGCATTATTGAATATTTATCTCTCTTTTACACGGCTGAAAGAGAAAGGCAACAAAAAGTTGTTCTTAAAACCACCCCTCTTTCCATGGCCCCAAAAAGCCTTACACACCTATTCCATATTTACACTTTCAAAGCTGTGATGAGTAATGGGAAGCTCCCTCTCCTCAATCTCCCTGTATGTCAAGCAACTCTTTGGCATCCATGAACTTCTTTACCTTTCAAGATCTTTTGAAAAATTGCAAGCAATGTTTCTTTGGTCACATGGGTTAATAGTCCTAATTTTACCTCTTTAGCAACTCAGTTTTCTAAATGGACTTTACTTCCTCAAACAATGACTAGATTTTGGCTGAATGTTTGAACGATGAATCAGGAGACTCATCTACTCTCCACAGATGCCATTTTACCTTTGGGTAAATCATAGCAATTCCTCCAATTCTCATTTTTAAAATGCCTGCATTTGCCAAATCTAACGCCATCCGATCAATCTCCTGTTCTCAGCCCCATTTTACAGAAAAGGTGACTGAGGCTCCAGGTAACATAGCAGCAGGTGTGAACCATGAGTGGGGCCTTCTTACTCATCCAAGCTTCTGCTTTAGCTTAGTGCCTTCCACTATGACATCATCTCCCAGTAACCACTAGTGACCCCCCAATAGCACTTACTTGTGCCTGAAAGCAGAAACAAACGAGCAATACTGGCAGCTGTACTTGTCCTCGCGGGTAAACATGGCCAGGGCCAGGTGGCTCCTCTCATGAGAACGCAGCCCCTGCATGGACATCAGGACTCTGTCACATTGACTGCAATGGTATCCCCCCGGCCGGGTTTCATCCTCCAACATTCCATCAAGCAAGCAGTGTTCACCATCCACCCGGCCCACCAGGGCGCCACTGGCGTCTTTGGCTGCTTCCAATCCATCCAGGAACAAGTGGGCAGGGTCATCCGCCTCCTGCTAAGAGAACCACACACACACACATGCCCCACCAACAAAATAAATATCCATCATCATTGCCTCCAGCTTTCTTTTTCTCCCTACATTCTCCCAAACTCAACAGCACTTCTTGTCAAAGCTTCCTCCCCTGCCTCTCCAGCTACCCCTAGAGGGAGAGCAAGCCCAACTGCCATTCTTCATGCAGTGGAGGTGATTTTAGGACAACATACCCGGACACAGGTTGCTACTGTTTGCGAAATGTGAACAAGGGCTTCTCCCACTCTGAAGACACTTCACTCACTTCTTCCCCATCTTAAAAGAAAATTCAAACTGCAACCCCATCTAAGTTGACATAAAGTTGGGCTAGGGTTGTGGCTCACAGAAAGGAGAGGAAGAAAGGAAGAGAAAGAAAAGCAAAGTAGTATGGTCATTGAGGAGCCTTGGGCCATTATCTGGAAAGGAAGCAAAGCAAAAGATCCCGCTGTCTGCCCCCTACCCTGTAGATGGTGACTTCACTCTATGACTGGAGACTGCTGCATAATCAATTCAAAAAATTAAGGAGCAGCCTAGTTTTAAGTCACCTGTTTTTCGAGATAGCTCCTTGGGTTACTGATTACACAGGAAAAGCCCTTCTGTCTCTCTCACATGATCCCAGGAAACGAGCCTGGGACACACCGCAGTGGTGTCTGAAAGAAAGTGACTGCTGATATCCCTGGGTTGCCACTGTTCTGCCAAAAGACAGAAAGCTTCAGTCTTCAGTGAAGAAAAGTAGAGACTTTATCTTCATGTTAAATTGGCAAAATAGGATGTAAGCTCAAGAAGGGCAGATGACAAAAATATGTTCGCGTGTACCCTTAGAGAAAGGGCAGAACCCCAAAATGACTTCTGTTTTAATAAATAATAGGGCTTAGCAATATCCTGGAAGACGGGGATGGTGGCTTGGTTACTGACATGGTGGCTGCTATTAGGATTATGATGTTCAAAACAGGTGGCCTAATAAAAGTCAGAGGGAAAAGGGAAGACACTTGTCAGCATCATATGGGAGAGGGGATGGAGGAGACAAACCAAGGCTTTCAGGGTCAATTGCGACTTGAACGCTTTTAGTTTTAATGTCTCTTGCAGTCCCCAGAGGACCCAGGATAAGAAGACAAAGAGATTCTCCTAGGCTCTCTGCATCCTCAGCCAGATGAGAACAGTAAGAAGTCAGGAAGAAAGAGGAGCAGAAGATGATGGGAACAGAACCCACTTGATTCCTCTCAAGAGCTCGGGCAACTTGGAAGAACGAAGAGCTAATGGCACTAAACGCAGAATAGAAGGACGACCCGAAGCCTCCTAGACCGAGAATCCTGGACCTTCTGCTGCCACCAAACTATCCGCGTGGAAGGAAACCAGATCGAAACTCGACCTTTCCCTGAACAGAAAGATGAGGAAGGTCCAACCTGCAAAGAAATCAAAACAAGCCAAACCAATCCAAGCATAATTCAGGAATGCCCGCATTCTGAGATGCTCTTTCCTGAGCTGCTTTAGGCAATGGGGTTAATAAGTAACTCGAATCGCTCACACACAATGCTCATCCAGACCTTCCAGTTCTCACCTTCACAGCAGCTGACACAGCTGGGACATTGCCATACTGGACGTGCTTTCGGAGGTGATTGCAGATGGCTCGGAGCGTTGGGTGCACTTCCACACAGAATTTACATTTGTAGCCCACCACTTTCCTCTCCTTGATCTTTGGCACCTCTTCTAAGTGACCAAAAGGCTGGTAAAATACAGTGGTAGCCATCAGTACTCCGAGCCCTCCCTCAATTGTCAGAATTTATTCTTGCAGTTTACTAACATACTTTATTTTAAAGCCGATTAGCAGGTTAAAAACCAAGGGAGATATAGGCGAGTATTTTTATATAACAAATTTGTCAGCATCATGGCACGCTGCCTACTATGCAAAGTCTTTGAAACCCAAATACATTACGGCTTGTGAGTAGAGAAGATTTCTGTGCAGAAGCTCATCGTCACTGCCACTAAGTCATCTGGTTTTCAAACCAGTTTCAACTAGGCAGGTGAAACGTTGCATAGTTGCGCCATTAATGAACTTCTTGATAAAATAAAATCTACTCCTGGAGACGTTAGGTTCATGTAGCAAACACTGAAGACCAAGACATGGCTGAGAAGTGCTAATGGTACCAAGAGACAGCCCACACTGCCTTAGGAAAGAGCGAGCGTTGTTGTAAAACTAGGCTTCAGATAAAGCTACTTGGCAGAAAGACATACATAGAAACCACCCCAAACCTCCCCTGGGGAGCCATGGGAGGAGTCAAAGGGAAGGAGGGAGGAGAAGGGACCAAGGAGAGGGGTGAGCACAGAATGGGAGATAATCAAGCTCGAAATGTTTAATTGACTTATTGAGCTCTCTGGCAAGCTAAGTCACTAGGAAGCCTGCAGCAGTTTGGCTGGCAACGAAGAAGTGCATGTGGGCACCAGTGATGAGAGGCCTCCTGGGGGAAGGGAAATCAAAACATATCCTTACCCTCTCTTGTTTGAAATCTGCAAAAGCACCATCTGCATATTTCTGCTTGCTCAAAAGCTGTTTCCTCCTCTCCTGACGTTTGGCACGCTTCTGGAATTCCTCATTGTGAATGTTCAAGTGTGAGGTCAGCTCGGCTGTGCTTTGCAGTTTGCTATCACAGTGCTTACACTGGTAGGTGGAGTTCTGCAAGCGGGGGCCGTTGCCCAGAATGATGAAGTCCCTCTTTAGGTCCCGACTGTGGTGGTCAGTGTAATGCATGCACAGCAGCTCTGCAGTGCTAAAGGACAGCTTGAAGCATTTGATGCAGCGGAATGGGAGCCACTCGATTTCCTGAGCTTCACCCTCCACCTCGGCTTTCTCAAAGTTGCCTCTCTCCTCTTCTTCCATCAGTGTGGGCTTCTCATGCTCATCTGCATAGACGGCCGTGAAGTAGCCCCCCAACTTGCTGGCGTGCTGCTTCTTTGGGAACACCCCTGGGTGGCGTTTCATGTAATGGGACACGATGCCCTTCTTGCTGAACGACTGGAAAGAGCACAAGGAGCACTTTTTCTTCTCCACTGCCCGCCGGAGTTCCTCGCTCAGCTGAGGGGAGTCGTCCTTGGGCGGGGATGGGATGATCACTTTGTTGGGCTTGTCGCTGATGGTCCTGGAGGCTGCCAAGCAGTGAGTGTAATACGCATCAATGTCGTGGCGCTTCTGGTAGTGGGCTGCCAGACCTTTGCGGATGGGGTTGGTGTAGGCACACAGGGCACACTTGAAGAGGTTGTTCTTGCCTTCTGGCTGGGCTCGGACATTATTGTGCTTGATGCGGTAGTGCCTGGCGATCCCCTTCCTCGTGGAGCAGAAGTACTTGCAGAGCTGGCACCGGAACACAGTGTGGGAGACCAGGTGGGAGGTAGAGAAGTGAGAAGTGGACACGGGCTCCTCTCCCACCTCCTCCTCAGTGATGGAGACTTGGGAAGGGCTCACTTCAGTGGTCATCTCGGGCTCGAGGGGGACTGGCAGCTTCGGGGGCGACTGGGAAAAGACATCAAATTCAGGCTGATTGTGATACTTCTCGTAGTGGATTTTTAGTTTCTCCAAAGTGCCGTGTGTGTACGGACACAGTTTGCACCGGTAGGCGCCATACCCTTGCTTGAAGATCCTGCTCGTCTCCTCCACGTCATTCTGGGATATGTCAGCAGACTGCTCTACGTCGTGCACAAAGTCCTCAGCGGTCACCTTGATGGACGGGTGTCGCTTCTGGTAGTGGGTCAGTACGCCGTGGATGCGGGTGTTGATGTATGGGCAATGCCTGCATTTGTAGACGGCACCTGGGTTGATGTCAATGTCCTGGGCAAAGTCAGCAGCCTTCACTTTCATGCCAGGGTGCTTCTTCCCATAATGAGTGAGAAGGCCGTGCAAGTTGTTATACTCAGATTGGCATACCGTGCACTGGTATGGGGTGGAGGATATGGCGGGGTTGGCTGAAGCTAGCTGCAGGCTTTTCTCAGGGGACAGTCTTGCATCCTCTGGACATTCAGCTTCCTGCTCCGGGAAAGGGGTGGGTATACTGTTTTCACAATTCACAGGGCCTGCCAACTCTTCGGATGAAAGAATGGGCTTCTCCACAGCATCTTTCTCCTTGATGATGTCCAGTAGCACTGACTCATCACCATTCATGGCCCAGGGGTGGAATGCTTGGTAGTGATTAGTGATGTCCCAGATGGAAACAGCTTCGAAAACACAGTCCCTGCATCTGTAGGTTTTGGCTTCGGCTGGCATTGTGAGAGAGGGAGGGGATGGGTCTGGCCCAGCCCACAGTTTAGTAGCCATGTAGGTGTAATCAACATAGTGTTCTGGATGCCTCCGTTGGTAATGCAGGAGCAAACCGTTGGGCTCCGTATGGGAGTAGATGCACCACTCGCAGTGGTAGCCAGCTTCTATCAAGCCATCTAGAAATGCCCATCGCATGATGGACGTGACTGTGGCTTTCAGGGCGGGGTGGTCTTTCTTGATATGCTTCCTCAGTGCATAGAAGTAGGGGGAGGTATATGAGCACTGCCTACATTTGAGTGCTCGGAGTTTCGTTTTGTCCCGCTCCAGATTAGAGGGGGAGACAAGCACGCAGCTGGCAGGCTTCTTCTGATTTCGGTCGCAGAGGCTTCGAATGGTGGCCGTATGCTGCCGGATCACATCTGCATTGGCCTTGAAGTCTCGGTGCTTCTTCTGATAATGAATGAGTACCCCTTTGACCGTCCGGTTCCCATAATCACAGTGCTGGCAAAAGAACATCTCATTCTCCACAGGAGGGCCATCTCTCTCAGAGCTGCTTCGGTTCAGCTGTTGTATGGGGGCGGGTGGCCGGGGGGAGCCTTGGGGCCCTTCGACCCCTCTCATCATTGCAGCTGTGGGAGGAGCCTGTCTGATATATTTGGCAGTAACCTTTATTTCTGGGTGTCTTTTCTGGTAGTGGACAAGCACTCCCACAACTGACCGATTGCTGTAGGAACAGTGTTTGCAGTAGTAAAGCTCAGTACTGAGGTCTGGTGGCGGGGGTTGTGGGGGGGGTGGGGAACCCATGTTGGACATTTTGGGAGACATTGGAGCACCCACCTCAAATGATAATTGAGAAAGGGCAGAGCCCCTGTCCACAGACACCATTCGCATAGTTTTCTGGATCCTAAAGTAGGAAGCCTTTTCTTCGGGGTGTTTCTTCTGATAATGAACCAAGACAGAATGCATGTTGGGGCTTGCAAACGAACAAACATCACAATCATAAACAACAACAGTGTTGACCAAAGGGTCCTTCTGATTTTCACATTCAGGAGTAAAGGTCTTAGGAGTGTTTTTGTTGAACGTAGCTGGCAAACCACCACCACGAGCCACAGGTGTGGAAGTCGCCATGTTCTTGGGAGCCGAATTCAGAATCTCCCTCAGGGTCTGGGATTCTGTATTCAGCCCTTCCTGCTGCTCCACGACATAGCTTGAAAATATCATCGCGTTGTTGATCTTCACCGTGGGATGCATTCTTTGGTAATGTGGCATCAGGCTTCTAACATTCGGGCTCGTGTATGAACAAAACCGACACCGGTAGATCAGGTCCGAGTGATCAAAGTTGAGTACATTCATGGCTTCTGGGTGGTGCTCGCCATAATGCTGCTGGAGATCTTCGAAGTTGGTGTAATCGATGTAGCATTCCAGGCACCTGTACACTGCACTGTGATCATTGGGGTCCAAGATGTACCTAAAGCTGAATTTAATGTATGGGTGCATTCGTTGGTAGTGGGTGCTAACACTCCGGGCAGATTTGTTGTTAAAGTCACAGTGTTTACAATAGTAAAGCCTTCCAGAGTCACCAAAGTCTGTGTTTTCACTATTGTGCTCAGTCCCATAGATGGGAGTTTGGGTATTCAGCAGAGCAGTATTGGAAACTTGGTGATCTTTCAAGTTTGTTGAGGAGCCATAATAATCCTCTTCATCTTCAGAAAGGGTGAGCTCAATCTCAGCCCCATTGGTGGCATTGTAATCGTGGGTGATGTTTCTGAAGTTGGGCTCTTTCTGGGGCTCACTGGTATCTCTTACCCATATCTGTTGGGCAGAAAAGGAAGTGGGAACCTCTATGATGGGTTCTGTCGGTTCTTCCTCCCTGTCCAACTCAACCTCTATCTCGACTTCGTTGTCTTCCTCTTCCTCTTCATCATCCTCAACATTGATCACTGCATCTTCCTGCTGTTTGGTTTGGTTAATTTTGCTCTGAAGGTTGCTTGCTATCTCGTCAATCCTGGTTCTCTTCTTCACGGGTGACAAATCTAGAGGAAAGTCATTGGCGAGCTTCCTAGAGGCTTTAGCTACAAAATTGTTCTTGGAGGACAACCCAAGAATTGAGGTCTGACTTTTCTTCACAGTGTTGCTGGAAGAGGGGTGGCTGTCTGTCTCATTTTCCAATGGTAGGCTTGAGGGCTGCCCCTCGAATTTTGGCAAGTTGTCACAGAATGAATGTTTATGCTGCTGATGGACTCTTAGCCCTTTCAGAGTTGTGGTGGAGTAATTACACATGGTGCATTTGTATGGGTGCAGAGGTGCGGCTTGTGTGGGTGGCTGTGGCTGCTGCGTTGGTGGTGGCTGTGTTTGTGGCTGGGGTGGCACCTGATGTGGTGGCTGCAGCTGTGGTGGCTGTGGCTGCTGCAGTGGCTGTGGCTGTGATGGTGGTGGTGGCGGCGGCGGTGGTGGTGGCTGCGGTGGCTGTTGCTGCTGCAAGGGATCCAACATGACTCCTGACTTTCTACCATTGATGCTTGAGCTCTCATAAGACACCACACCTTCATTCAGTGAGGAAGAAATGCTTTCACTCTGGGAATTCACAGCATCCCAATCTGACGTTGTACCCGTGTGACACTGTTTGTGAGCCCCAAGTTTCAACGAGCTCTTGCAAGTAAACGGACATTCGTCACATTTGTAGACAGCTGTCTTTCCAGATAAGTGGATGTTTTCTATGTGACGAGAGATGCTACGTCGATGCATGGTGAGGAAAGGACAAAAGGGGCACTGGAACCTATTCATGAATCTTCTAAATGGAATCCCCTTGGTCTCCAATAATTTGTTGCCATCTGAGCCCATCAGCTGCTCTGCAGACAGGCCTGATGTCTGGTGATCCATAGCACTTAAACCATTCTCACTGTCTATTTCATTTAACTCTTCATCAGAACTAGAGTCATTTAGCATGCTGTTAGTTTCCAGGTCAGCAGAAGAATTGGTCATGTCAGTCATTCCATAACGGGATCTCTCTGTCAAGTTAACTAGACCAGAATTGTGAGGTGACTTCGGCTTCATCTGAGGGTAAGACATGGGCGAAAACTTGGAAGCTGAAGAATTGGGTCTCATGATGGAGTTGCCCATGGAGCCCCTGAAGTTGGAGACGGTAGTATTGGGTATCTCCCGGCTTGCAGCATTCATGGTCAGATAGGTGGAGTTGGAAGTGGGGCTGGGGGCACTCTTGTTCGGCACATCAGGTAGATTAGTTCCTTCTTGTTGCTGTCTGAGACTGGAAAGGATCTTGACCATACTGCGGTGTTTCTTCATCATGTGGTCACACCAGCGTTCTCGGCGGGGGGTCTGGTAGCTGCACCACTCACAACAAAAGTTGCCTCGAGATTTGGTCAAAGGCTTGACCATAGACTCTAAGATGCTGCGCTCCACAACCTCTGCTGGCAGTTCCTTGCAGGGGTCCTGCAGTGATACGGGCGGAACCACAGGGTCTGGCATTGGAGCAGGAGCAGGTGGGGGAGCAGTGGTCTCCTTCAAATTGTTTTTGTGATACATCTTCTGATGCTTAATTATTCTTGCCCTTCTTGGTGACTTGTATGTGCAAAACTGGCAAGAGAAGACCTTTCCAAATCCCTCGTGCATCATGATATTATAATTTAAGGATCCCGGGACAGGGGGTCCTGATGAACTCCCTTCAGCTTGAGCTCCATGGACCTTTCTAGTGTGTTCTATGAGGAGGTTTTTTGACCTGAAGTAGCGTACACAGAACTTGCATTGAAAAAACTTGTTTGTTGGTTTGGGATTAGCGGCAATATGCTGACCATAATATCCTGGACTGTGGCCATAGTAACCTCCGGTCCCCAATGAAGTTGCATTTTGACCTAAAGAAAAAGCATAAGGAAAGTGACAAAGCAAAAGATAATTAAAATATCCAATCATGCAAATCAGTACCATTCCAATTATTCTTCATTACTAAACATCACATGCAAAAGGCCTGAAGTCTCAAGATGAGGCCTTGAAGAGTATTCACAAAGCATCAATGAAGATATACGTACTGCACCTTCTCATGGATAAAGATGCAGTGTATAGCTTTAGGTATTCTCCTCATCTCCATAAATGAGCCACACAGCTATAAAAATACAAGTTGCATAAATTGTACTACTTTTTCTAGAACTTTCCAAGCAACTATCTTGTTCTCCAAATTGAAAGGTAGGATATATGAGGAAGCTTTCGAAAGGATAAAACCTAAGGTACTCAAGGAGAGATACATGATGCCCAAACCACAAAAATGGCTAGCAAAGCACAAGAAACTCTGCAAAAGCCACGTATATTAAGAACCATGGCTACAGGCTAAAAGGAAACAAGAGCAATTAAAATACATCGGCCGTGCCAAGTTTAGTATAGATTTACCTGATAAATCTTCTGCAATGGCAAATTCATCCTTTATAGAAGAAAACTCCACCTCTGTCTGATTACTGGCATTCACGGACCCACATCGTAGCTCATTCACATTGTCCTCAGCAACATCAGTTGGCTGCAGAAATGCCGTGTGGACATCCTGAATGTGTGCCTTGAGATCTTCATAAGACGGGGCTCGGAAATCACAGCCATCACACTGAAGCACCTCCATGATCTGGGTCTAGCCTCTCACATTAGGAACCTGTGGCAGAAGTCAGAACAAAACATCTTAAGGAATGCACTAATCACATACCTCGAGCTGATGGGGCTATATATCCATTAATGGGAAAAAATTCCAGTATCAGTAGATTTCTCTTATTGGACTTTGCCAGTTGGAACATTGGCTAAAGAGAGGCAATCAGACATAATGGAGATGATGTCCTTGACCTCATAACTTCAAAGAAGGAAAAATACCAGATAAACATTTTCTAGCATGATATGTCTTCCAATGCCATTTGTCAAGGAAACGCTTAATACTTCAAAAGTTTTAGAAGTTTCTGAGCTTCTCCACTGAATCCAAATTTCTTGGTAACTTAATGTTGGCTTTGGTTCTGCCTTGGACTCATTTTCTTTTTAAATTGGAACCATCTCAAAAGTAAAGAGGATGTCCACACAGAAGAAAGGGAAAATTTCAACCTTCATTAGCTGTTTATTTAGTATTATGACCTTGGTGTTTTATCACCAATTAGTGAAATAGTATTTAAATCTTGGGGGTGGAGGTAGAGCATTTTTATTGTAGCTTTTCTTACTTTAATAACTTTGCTGATATTGGGGTGCACCTCTCTTTCCTCCCTTCTCCAAATAGTTTAGTTGTGGGTTTTTTTTTCCATGAGCTAAATGACTATTTGCTGTTTTACTACCTACCAATTATAACCTAACAGCTTCTTCAATCTAATTAGGTCATAAAATATTCCTCATGAGATTTTCAAACAACCAACTTTGGATGACAATCCAGTTTCTGTTTAAAGTTGCACCTTGGCACCTCAATTTGCATGAAGACAACAGAAACTTGCATTTTTGAAGAAGGGCTTCTAAGTCATGACTTTACCTTTTTCCACTTCTTTCCTTTACAAACATGAAGCACATACCTGGATGCAAAAAGCTGTGAACCTACCGTGGAATAAATCAAAACTTGCCCAGCTACCTTCATTCTGCTATTTACTTTGTGACTGAAATATACAGAAAGCTACACACTAACTCAAAGGAGAGTCCCACCATCAAGAAGTCAAAAATGTATTAGAAAGGTGGAGTCCTTCCTATCTTAATGTATATCCTAAGTTGAGATACCCTGTTATTATCTAATGAGTAAGTTACTTCAGTAAGATCATCACAAACTCTACTGAGTCACTGTAATCTAGAACCAGATGTCCAAGAACTAACACCGTAGCCAATGTATTTTATGATGTAATACTCTATACTTTTACTGTAAAAGATAAATTATTTCTGCAGGAACAAAAAAGTCCAGTAATAATACATCAATGTAGTGAAAGGAGCCATCACACAAGGATTTTCTATCAAAGAATGCTCCTCCTGATCGCCTGCTAAAATAACTTCTGGCAAGTCCAGTTCTGGACAGACTGAGCTTGCAGAGTGAGCCGCAGATATTTACCTCCTCTTCTTTCACCCAGCAATTTATCCTTTTTCAATAAACATTGAACTGTGCACCAGACTCTTTTCAGCTAAGTCTCAATATTCCAGATACACAAGCTTTTATGTCTAAGCACCAACCCAAATTGTGTGGAAGAGGTTGCTATCAGCTCTGGATCAAATTACAGCAGTCACTGAGGCCCCACCCCACTTCTCCTTTCGCACAGTCCATTAGACCTGAAAACAAATTTTTCCATGGTGCAGACAACTCCTGCATTTAGAACACTTCACAGAAAAAAGCAGATCATCCAGTGTGCACTCCCCATCCCCCAAGCTTAGTCCTTTCATCTCAGCCAAACAAGCCACAGCTCTGCTGAATGTGTTTATCACACTTTCAAGAGATATGAGCTCCTGCGTCACTGAAGCTCTAAGACTCACTAAGCTGCCCTAGTCCTCTGAGCTTTAGGGGCAGCCATTTTAGCTCAGAGCTTCTCCTCCGTGCACAACATGGCTTCTCCTGGAGTCTGCTAGGCTAACAATCAGAAATGAATGCTAGAAGAGCAGGCTGGGCTCCTCCTATGCTCTTCTCTTCCCAACAAAGAATTAACTGTTTTCATTTCTCTCTGAAAAGCAGCACCTTTCTCCTCCTCAAATGTCATTCACCAAGATCTCCAAAGGTTCTTTTATTCCATGATTGATATGCTGGTTTGTTAGTCCCAGCAGAGCCCTGGTCAGAGCAGGATGACCCTGGGCCAGATCCTGTTCTACATCAGGATTTAGGGGTGCAGTGGGGGGACCTCCAGAATGCCTTGGCTTCTTGGAAGTCGTCCTTCCACACACAGAAGACATACCATCCGACTCTGCTTGCCAGATTCCAAAGTCTAATGACCTTTGTTAATCACCAGCCAGTCTGTCTGCATCAGCAGACCCTGCCAACAGACACACCCTTCAACACAAAGGCTGTAGCTATTCCTTTTAAAGGAGGTTCTCTGAAAGCTCCATTGTGTAGCAGAGAGGAAAACAAAATCTCTTCCCTTCAAAACTTCAAGCCTTTAGAAATAATGCAACAAAAGGCTTTCTGCTGTGTGTCTTTTGGAAAGTTTGAGCCTGATTTGCACAACATCAACAGAAGTTACGGTTCTGCAGAAGGAAAGCAGGGCACCTTCGGCATTAAGTCATCCACCTAGAAATGAAATTCATCTCTCTATGTAGTTCTCTAATATCTTGGTGTCTTCTGAAGCTATTATCAAGGATGCTAACTTCACTGGACACAAACATAAACTAACAATCTCCTTGTTCTGCTACAAAGGAGATTAAAGGGTTATGAGATCAGAAAAAGAGTCACTGATTTGGAAAAAGAAGAGATGATGAAAGTGATTTCCTAATGGGTTCTAGCTTTAATGTTGTTGCAGCCTCTGCCTCAAAAATAGCTCAGAGCCTTAGAAGAGGTTAATCTCCAGGCCGCTGAGAGAACCAGCATCAGGTAGAGCTGAATGGCCTTCAATTTCATGTCTGCACCAAGTACTGAAAGGAGGATGTAGCCTACTTTGAAAGCCATCTTGCTTTTGTGTACACATTTCTCCTGAAGACGCTGACAGAAGAAGAAAATAGAAGTTGCTGGCATGGCCCAATCAAAGAGAGAGAAACTTGATATGTTTATGAGATGGTACATGGGCACATGTGCAAAAAGTGACAGCAAGTGGAGGGGAAGGGAGTAGAGAAGGACAGAGACAAAAACACACTGGACATGACGATGACCCATTCATATGTTTTTGCAGCAGATGGTAATCCTCTAAGAAACCAAAACCGAGGAAAAAAAAAAAAGGTGAGAAATAAGCTCTGCATATCTTCTTCATCAATCCCGAAGAGCAGCAACCCTAAGAGGCTAACCTAGTCACTGATCTGCTATAAAATTATGATTTTAAGTTAAAAGCTTTGATCTCATATCTATTGACTTCATTTAATAATACTATGATTATGAAATTAGCAATATTTTTTCTCACCAAAATCAGCAAAATCAAAAGTAAAAGAGGAAGTTTCTGAACTAACTAAAAAGAGTCTATTTCAAAAGGTCATGAGATGAATCTACATATCAAACAAGCATCCCTGTCTTCTACCCCAGATATATGTCTAGGCCCTTCAAGGTCAAATAGACCTCAGATGCCTAGACTTTAAACACCACCCATCATGATCCCTGCAAGGTGAACACAGATTCATTCTAAAATAACTGGCACCTAATGTGACTGGTCCTCCTAACATGAAACCCCTAAACCATCCTAATTAGTCACTGCCTTTAGTACTACTTATTCGTTGCTGGTTTGTTCAGTTTGCATTTACAGTTTGAAGGATTTCAAAATGTGGGGTTTTGATGGGCAAACCCACAATCCAATTGTTTATGTTTGACAAACTCTTTAAGATATAAAGAACATCCAGAGATGATGTCAAAGATTTGAAACATATATACAGAAATGGGGAAAAGTAAATTATGGACAAAGCCTGCTCATTTTCAATCTTAAGAACACCAATTTTAATTTATACCACCTGCCCACCTACTTTCTGTGCTCAGAATTCCAGAGATCCATTTGCCTCAGTTTTCCCTCCTGTGAAGGAGGAAGGAGACAAACCACAGCTTCATCGTCCATCCTTCCAACTCACTGCTCAGACGTAACCGGAGCGGGGAGGTGTTGACATTGTACAGCATTCTTACAGGCCCGCCACCATCACTTGGTCCAGGTCAGCTTGGCAAACACTGCTCTTTAGTTTGAGGGCCCAGGAGCATAAATGTGGTCCTCAAGTCAAAATCCCAGCTCTCTTCAGGAAGTGATCAAATTAAAAGGCATAGGCCTTGCCTGGATCTAACCTGTTCTCTGACTGAAGGACTGCAGCCCAGAAATAAAGCTGTGAAGCACCACAGCCATGTGATTCAGTAGCAACTAATTATAACCTTCAAAGCCTTTGAGAAATAGAACCAGAAACACCATAAGGTGCTTTTCCTCTGTCCACTCCAGAAACCTAGTTTCATTTATAAGACACTAAACTTCCCAGTTCTCCTCAATCATAATTCTAATAAAAGGCTCTCATTAGCACCTGTTGTTTGAACTTTTCTTAGTTTTCTTTCTTATGAATGGAAAAACCAATTATCCAAGGACAGGTAATAGAATACATAAATTCTGGAATAGTTCAGCTAGAAAAACAGAAAAATCAAGAGACTAAAGATCATTCTAAAAAATGTATTTGCAGATCAGAAATTGTTGATATGCTGAGGTCAAAGATTTGTGATGTGTATTGGGAGATTAATATTTTCAGTTGCAAGCCCCAGGACCTTAAGATGAAAAATGATTTTTTTTAAAAAGGCACTAGTAAACTTATAAATGTTGGGTTGCTATTCTTAGCAACAAGGGAAGTTCTCTATCACTACTAATCATTTACACTTGTTATGGCTGAAGTGGAAGTTCTAATAATTTAATAATCATTTAAAGCATCTTTCCAAAGAGTAATGACCTGAAAAGTTGAGGTGAAATCTCTTTCAGGAACAGCAGTTATGGAATCAAATCTACAAATGCAAATATAGAATGTCTAAATATATATATCTATACACAAACACACATAATTATAGATATAATTAATGACATACAGATATATGTAATTAATTTTCTTGATTTAATTTTAACTCATATATGGGCATATGCCCTCCAAATTTAACAAGAGCTGGGGGCAGAATCAGTTCTTTTCTGAATAAATACAAATGACATCGGTACTATCTCCATGTTATAGTGTAAAACAATAAACCAGCAGGCAGGGCGTGGTGGCTCACGCCTGTAATTCCAGCACTTTGGGAGGCCGAGGTGGATGAATCAGGAGGTCAGGAGTTCGAGACCAGTCTGGTCAACATGGTGAAACCCTGTTTCTACTAAAAATAAAAAAAATTAGCCGGGTGTGGTGGTGGGCACCTGTAATCCCAGCTACTCAGGAGGCTGAGGCAGAGAATTGCTTGAACCCGGGAGAAGAAGGTTGCAGTGAGCCGAGATCGCGCCACTGCACTCCAGCCTGGGTGGCAGAGTGAGACTCTGTCACAAAATAAATAAATAAATAAATAAATAAATAAATAAATAAATAAATATAAAAAAATAATAAACCAGCAAAATAAACCAACAAGCAACTTCCAACAACAAGCTACCTCCAACAATCCCATAGCATTTGGTACTACTACAGATTCTGGCTCACCATGTAGTCTTCAAATGACCTATCAAATGTTTATACTTTTTGCTACATGATCTAAGCAGTTCTGTGTACTCTTGGCAATTCACCACACTAATGAAAGGTTTAACATATCAGGGAGGATAAATAATTAAGGAATTCAGAAGGGAGACACAGCTGTTCTTCAAAACCAAATTTTCAGAAGAGAAAGGATTAATTTGCAATCACATATGTAACCCCCAATATGAGACTGAAGTTAAATAGTAGCAGGGAAATACCATGAGATGAAGTCCTGCCAATGCATGTGGCCTCTGTTGTATACAGTTGGCCTGGTCCATCTGTGGGACCTTGTATATAAGCACAAAGTCTGAAGCAGGCAATTTGCAGATTAATAACCCAATCACCTACTGGCCAAGGATGCTAGCCTTCAGGTTACTTTTTATTTTAGGATCGCTCTCCTGCATAAAGTTTTCAAGTACTACAGAGTATGCTGGAGTACTATTTCTTAATAGATACCTTTGGAATCATCATTAAAATGAAATGAGCATCTAGGGATGTAATCCAAGTGGCTAAAAATGTTGGATATGTAAATAAGAAGTCATTCCGGCTGAGTGACCTGTTATGAAAGCAGGTAGTAAGTGTCTCATACAGAAAGAGATACTACATACCTTCTGGAGAATTCATGCATTCCTTTGCAATGATATAAGGCTAATTGAGGCCAACAGGCCAATAGGCAGTCTGCCAGCTCTCCTGTCCGTAGAAAAGGAAGCGTGTGATTTGAATAAGGAGATAAAAGAAGAGAAGGGACAAGAAAAGAAAGGGAGGAAGCAGGCTGATATCTCAGTAGCTTTAGACTTCATTGTCTGTAAAGGGGAACTTGCAGTTCACTGGATAATTCTAATTCTGAGAAGCGTCTTGACAATTTTCTTGAGATGTGGTTTAGAAACAAAACAAAACAAAATGAAGACGACTCCCCCTCAATGAAATTCTCAAAATGCAACCATGATAAATGAGATTCCAGCTCATCATGTCCTTTCAAATGATGGGAACCCATTCTTGGTGTCCTAAGAATGAGTAAGTGAGAAATAATAAGTATTGAGGAATTCTCTGAAATGTCATGGGTTCACCAGGAAGTTCCTTGGAAACTGCAGCTCTTCTTGCCCTTGTACTTAGAACAACAGATAACTGATTTCTCCCCCCCCAGAGCTAAACCTCGCCCAAACAGCAGAGACAGAAAATCACGGTGTTGCTTTATCGACTCTTCAGAATGCTGGCTGGGTTTCTACAGACACTTTTCACACAAGAACTCTCATTACAAAAATTGTAAAATTAAAGGGAAGTTGCAGATATGCTGCTGGGTCTTCATTACAGAACTGATTAAGACGCAGAGTAAGCAGAAGCTGCAGTACAAGTCATCTTCCACATCATGAAAGACCAAGACATGAATTGAGAACTTTCCCTGGGGGCTGGTCAGCCTGACTGACCTTGGGCCTTGGGTGCGTCTTCATGGCCCAAAGTGTTCGTGCCTCACAAGATTCAGCCAAACATACCAAGTCTCAATTTTACAGATTCAGTGAATGAATCCAGAAACCATTTTTAACAACTTACCTTGTTTTCTATTACTATGCAAAGAAAAAAAAAATGATGTATGGCCAGTGGCTTGCGGAGTGTGTGAGGAAGTTTTGCTGAAATAACTTCTTTTATCTGGGGGAAAATCTCAATCTAATCTCCCTGAGACTTGCTCACTTTTGTATGCTCATCATTTGCTCAAAAAATTCAGACAATTCACTTGCTTTAGACGAGAATGATTCTGAGCCTGCCTCCATCAGTGGCAGCCCCTGATGTAATAACCCTTCCAGTCTATTTTCTTATAGCAGACAAAACTGATTACCTAAGCCTGGCACCTGGATCTGCCTGTCTGTGTGTCTTTCTCCAAACCATGGTTTCTAATATAACTACCCTGTGAGGATAAAGTCCTAAACCCCTGCTTTCTGAAAAGGCAAACAGTGCCTGAGCCTATATAGACCGTAAATGCTTTCAAGTCCTCCTACTCAAGGGGACTGTGATTTTTTGTTTTCCTCTTCTTGACTTCTGCCTGTAGCAGAAGCCAACAGAAGGCTGTCCTTCTCTCTTATCAAACTAACCAACTGGCCCATTCAGATACATTAGTTTCCCCACCCTTGCTTCAACAAATTAATGCAACCTTATAGCAGGAGAAACATCCATATGTGTTTCTATATGGGACTGGAATATACTCCAAAATTAGAAATGTTCTAAAAATGAAAGCTAAGAAATTTCTTTTCTCTTGCAATCCCCAATCTACTTTTAGCAAGTAAGTTTATTCCTAAAACTTCTTACATCCCAAGAACTGAGCAGAAAGCTTAGACATTTGTCCACCAACACAACAGTAGACTTTATTACCAGGTGAAAACACTACAGTGCTCAGTTAAGGAGCCAAGCCTCGAATTCCATATATCCTTAATGATAAATCCCACTTTTGCCCAACAAAGTTAGGTTTTTCAGCATATCCACTGTTGAGCTGTTTTAAAAAAAAAAAGAAAAAAAAAAAACATACAGAAATGCCTATCCAGCCATTAAGGAATTTGTTCTCAGATCACTAAAACCAAAAAGCGACAGTAGGTATGATGTCTCTGCCTGCCATCTTCACCTTGAGAGCAAGTCTTTTGAGGCCCTTACTTTGATCATTTTGTTAAATGAAGAGATTAGATCATGACGTTCAACCTTTTTGTACAAAGGACCTGTTTTACAAGATTTTCTTCTCATATTTTCTAAGATTTTTTTTCCTGATTAAATTCATTCCCTTACATTTTATTATTCAGAGGCATATAAATGCCAATCTTCATGTGACTGCCTTCTTATAAATTAAATCCAGGGGCTTTCCTTGACAACTCTATCTTAGCCACCACTCCCAACCCTTACAAAATCTACAAAATTGAAACCCCTACTCACACCACCAACCCACACACAGTTTCTCTCTACCACAATCCACTACTTTATTTCCTTCACTATTGGCATGACCCTTGTTTGTTTGTGGTCTTTTCTTCCCACCAGAACACAAGTACCCTTAGAAGGAGTCTAGGTCTGTCTGGCTCTTCAGCCTTGGGAACACTCAGTGTACTCAACAGGTACTCAGAAATATACGCTGAATGAAGGAAGGAACAAATGAATGAACTAGAGCTTCTGAATGATAGGATTCCAACCAACCAACAGAGATTGGTCATGAGTGTTAGATGACTCTACTAACCCTGTGTTGTCATAAAGCAGTAGTCCCAACGAGCGGTAATTTTATTCCCCGCTTGCCCCAACTTGGGGCTGTTTGGCAGTATCTGCAGGCAGTTTTAGTTATCATACCCAGCATCTGTGGGTAAAGGCTATGGATACTGCTAAGCATTCTACAACGCACAGGACAGTCCCCACGACAAAGAATTATCTAGCTCCAAATGTCAATAGTGCTGAGACTGAAAACTTAATGATCTCCAGGTATTTTCGTTCTCTGCATATAACCCACCTGTCTTCAGAGGCCCTTTATGGGGTCCTGGCTGGGGAGTCTCTGGATCCTTAGAGGGTCAACAACCTGGGAGAGCCCAGGTCCAAGATTTTAGAATTGTGTGGTTCTAAATGATCTTAGCAGCCCTCATGCTATATGATATCATGATGAGTTTTCAGTTTTATTTTTCTAATTTGGGTATGTTACCAAAAATCTCTTCAGAAAAAAAAAAAAATCCTAGGCGAAGGCATGTGACTGGTCTGTCTTTCCTAGTGATACGGCCTTTGTATCCACCTTTGCACAGTTGATAATCCTGTGAGTTTTGTGAGTAAGGGGCAAATGTCATTAAAAATGGTCAAGTCAGCTGGGCACAGTGTCTCATGCCTGTAATCCTAGCACTTTGGGAGGCTGAGGCGGGCAGATCACTTGAGGTAAGGAGTTCGAGACCAGCCTAGCCAACATGGTAAAACCTCTTCTCTATTAAAAACACACACAAAAATTAGCCGGGCTTGGTGGCAGGTGCCTGTAATCCCAGCTACTCGGGAGGCTGAGGCAGGAAAACTGTTTGAGCCTGGGAGACAGAGGTTGCAGTGAGTCGAGATCATGCCACTGCACTCCAGCCTGGGTCACAGAATGAGATTGTCTCAAAAAAAAAAAAGTTAAGTCTTTAGCATGTGACCTCTGACTAAAATTTCTGTGAAAAACAATGCATATGTTCTCCTCTCCAATGTGTAAAATCATCTTCTTTCAAAGTGACAGGGCCCCAGGCTACTATAAGTCACTCTTCAGAGGACAAGTAATACGTTCTTTTTTATTCTTATATCCCCAGGGCCCGGCATAAGTCTGGCTCTGATGAGATTTGTGCTATGAGTACTAACTGTATGCAGGCCTGCTTTCCAGGAGAAAATTAACCAGTGGTACAAAATCGAACTAAACGTTCAAGAACCTAAGGAATTCCAGAGAGCATCCATGAACAGAAAAACAAAGCAAAACCTAGTGCTTATGAAGCTAATGAAGCCACATCACAGTGGTTAGCTGACTACTGAGACACTAGTAATTCTAAGTCTCCACTGGCAATTCTAAGTTTCCACTTGTCCATGAGTTTTAAGTAAATGACCATCCTCCTTTTCCTCATCATCCATGGAGAAGCTGCCTCTGGCTGCATTGTTCCACCTATGTGTTTATAACACCGCTAAGCTACCCTGAACTGATGTGACACCTGGAGTCATCACCTGACTACACTTGAGACCATTTGGTTGCCTTCCCTCCACAAAGCCTTTTTTATTCTTGTTTGCAAAGTATCCTGGAAAGCCAGAGGAACAATTCTGTCCTATAGCTCAAAACTGTATAAACATTTTCAGTGGAGGGAGTGTAACAAAATCAGGTAGAAACAGAATTTTTTCTTCTTAGCCTCCCTGAAAAATATTGAAATATTATTTGTGCCTTCCTTAAGTCAAAGAGAAGACTCTACTCTAAAAGTTAACCATCAATAGGTTCATCATGTCCAATGGAGAGGAGATCTTAAAGACCATATAGTCCAACCTGGTCCAACATCTTCATTTTCCAGAGAGTGAAACTGAAGTCTCAAGAAAAATAACCTGCCCAAGCCTTCTGGCACATGCATTTTCTGAAGCCAGAAAAAAAATCTTTTGAATTTCATAATTTGAGACAGGAACTCACAAGTAAAGACATTCCATACGTGTCAGTTGTTCAACAGTATTCACACTTAAGGTCCATGCCCCGTATATTCTCAGTAATGAGTCTTCATCAGGAAGGCAGATTTCAGAATAACCACAAGTGTCTCCTCTACTCTGAATCCACACCCAGGAGAGTAACTGAAAAGGTACAAAATCCATTTTTTTGCAGATTGACTATTCAAAGAACTTCTTAGGCATGCAAGCAGTGTGTTTATACTTTGGAAACATGTTTGGAAGACTGAAAGTTGCTGACAAAGGTATACACAGAAGAACAAGAGCTATAACACTGAATTATCTTTAGAATCCAACCTCATGGAGTCGGAACAATGTTATGTAGTAGCTTTATGCCTGCCAAATCTACCCCACGAGAAACATCATCTTGTTTCTTATGGAAAATGTGCACTGCCAACAAAGTCACTGAAGAGGCTAGCTGAACGAGCCTTAGGAGGATCTGGACATAGCAGGGTCGGTTCATGTAAAATGGAAAGGAAAGGAGTAGTCAGCCTTACGAATGTCTGTCAAAAAAGCCAGCCTCTTTGTGGAACATCTAGTGAATGACTCAGACTAATGATACCAGAATATTGTTCATACTGGATTTCGCTTCAAATTATATACTGCATTCTGAAACCAACTTGGAATATTTTTCTCTCTTTACTAATATATTAATTTATCTTTATCCATTCTTTATTTATCTAACTTTATTCCTAGAGGGTATCTATATCCATTTGTTGGATATAAAAAAATCTAAATGTATCAGAAAGTCTGGGAATCATCTTTAACTTTTAAACTATCTTCCCTAAGGGTCTCTTAGAAAAGCCTGTTATCATTCTGAAGAGAATAGCTTAGAAAATCAGGAAGATGTTGAGATCTCTATGTTTGTTCACGGTTTTCCTCCATGTAGAACACTTTTACCTGCTTTTGGAAGGTCTAAGTAATTCCCATCCTTTACGACAGTGGTTCTCAAAGTCTAATCCCTGGACCAGCAGCATCAGCATCACCAAAGAACTTGTTAGAAATGCAAATTATTGAGTTCCACCCAAGACTTGAATCAGAAACTCTGGTGTTGAGGTCCAGTAATTTTTTTTTACATATTCTCAGGGTGATTCTGAGGCCCAAGCAAGTTTTAAGACCAAGCTCAAGTTTTCCTTCCTGTATGAAACAGTCCCTGAGACCACCAGCTAGAACAGTGAGCATTCCTTGCTCCACTGCATTGGAGCCCTATTTTAAAATGCTGCCGACTGGATGAATGCAATAATAGCTACACAGTCCTTGAAGAGCACAGGAGACAACTACTGTTTGCAAATATTTAACTTCTTATATAGCAATTAATGAGAAAATACTAAGTTGCAGAACCAGCATCAGAAACTAACATGAGTACACTCATAAAAGACAATTACTGGTCTTGAAAGAATGAAGACTGTGGCTACTTCAAGTGCTGATACTGATACCTACCTCCCTTAAAAACTTCAGAAGGGTTCATGACACAGTGTCCTTGATATTTCTAAAGCAGGACATGGATCCACAAAGGAAAGAATCAGAGTATTTTACCTAGAAAATACTAAGAGTTGGGTAAATCCTCAGGATCCCAGACTCTTCCATGACATGACGCTTTCGTGATAAATAAAATCTTATTAGAAAATACCTCCAAGCTTAGAGTGGTCATTTGATTGTTGCCCTAAAGCTATATTGCAGGGCTAAACTCTCAGTTAAGAACCAACATCTGAAGACAAAGATGTGTCTGGAAATCTCTCAAAAGAAGGATATATGCTTTAGGCTAACCAAAGAAACTTCCAGAAAAAAATGGTGGCTAATTGTCTCACACTGCTAACAAAGGCTTGGCTGGGGAAAAAGAAAGACAAAACATAGACAAAGAAAAAAAGAGTTTGGCCACACCAAACCCATAAACTGACAGGACCCTTGAATCAAAAGCAAGACTTAAAACTTAGAATCATGAAGTTCAGAGAGAAAAATTCAACTGTGTCCTGCCCAGGAACCTAGCCAGAACCCTTTTAAACTGCTGAAGGACTACTGAAGCAAGTCAAGCCATCAAGACACAAACTCAGGTTCTAAAAGCAGAATTAAGCAAGGCTTGAGGAGGGGATTTAAAGAGATGTTTCTCTCATTTTTTGAGGGCCAAGAAAAAGTTCTGCTAGTTATGCCTCGAAGACAAATGAGTTATTAAAAAAAAAAAAAAAAAAAAAAAACTAAAACAAGGGGTGGAGGACGACAGAAAAATGTAGCATGGAAACGACCCATGAAAAAATCTATTTTGGAGGAACAGGACACAGAAGAAAATTATATACAACAATTAACAGAGATTCTATGAAAGAAGAGATCAAAGACAAGATGACAAGACATCAGCACAAGATGAAAGAGAGGCTGGCAGTTGAAGAAAGAAAATGATGACAAAAATAATATCATTGCAGAAGTAATAAATATATTAAAGTTATAAGAGGCAAAATCCACAAATCAAAAACAATGTTGATGATGTGGAAAACAGTCTTCAAAAAACTGCACAAAATGCAGAGGAAAAGGACAAGTAGATGAAAGCAAGTGGAGAAGATGACAGATAAGAAGGTTTGAAAACAGATCGAACATACAGATAAAAGGTTTCGTAGAAGTAGACAGCAAAACAAAACAAAGCAAAACAAAATATGCTTAAATCTGTGGTAGAAAATACTTAGTTGAAATAAAAGAGTATCTGTTATTCCAAGAAAAAGTAAGACTGAATCAGTAAAATGGAAACATCTTGGTGAGGTTACAGAATTTCAAGGCTAAACATTGAATCCTATATACATCAAGACCTTTAACAATTAGTCAATTATAACAGAAAAAGTCAGGTGTCCTCTGACTTTTTCACAGTAACATTTGATGACAGAAAAAAAGTGAAGCTGTGTCTGTAGAGGCTCAAGAAAGAGAGAACAATACCGAAGTATTCAATTCCCAACTAAGTTCACAACCAGTTTTTTAAATATATAAAAGTAATAAAAAATGATTTTCTAATCAGCATAGTCAGAGAATGCAGCATGTAAGTAACTTTTCTTCAAAATACAACCAACGGAAGGTTCAAAATCAAGATCTCAAGAATAGGTAATTTAGAGGTAAGCAGAAGCTGTGAGCATTGAATCCACTTACATTTAGAACTAAAATTGAATAATTGATAATACTTACAAAATAAAATTATAATTCCTTAAATGTAGTGGTTATAACAATAAATAATTCCGTAACAATAACTATAAAAGTATGTAGAATTGGAAAAAAAACTTAACCATAATAAAATACACAGATGGAAGTGAAAAAGCTTTAGAGGATAAATATTAACGGGCCTGTAATCCCAGCACTCTGGGATGCAGAAGCAAGTGGATCATTTGAGGTCAGGAGTTCAAGACCAGTCTGGCCAACATGGTGAAACCCATCTCTACTAAAAATACAAAAATTAGCCAGGTGGTAGTGGCATGTGCCTATAATCCCAGCTGCTCGGGAGGCTGAGACAGGAGAATTGCTTGAGCCTGGGAGGCAGAGGTTGCAGTGAGCCGAGATCATGTCACTGCACTCTTGTCTGGGTGATAGAGTGAGACCCAGTCTCAAAAAAAAAAAAAAAAAAAAAAAAAAAAAAAAAAAAAAATATATATATATATATATATATATATATATATGTATATATGGGCAAATATTCTCAACTTTCACAGCAGGACAGAAATACTCATACTATTTCATTTCTGAAGTTAACAAATTTCCAAATAAAGGTGTAAGAACATTAATTTAATCAGTAATAAAAATAAAAACAGACTATAGCTTTGAATTACTAGAGGAAAGAACTCAAAGAAAATGCAGATTATATAATAAAATGAAGAGGACAAAGGAAATTGCACAGAAATATAAAAGAGAATGCATAAAATTAATTAGAATTAGGTATATGTGATATATCAATAAATGTGAATTGGATAATTCTTCCTCTGGAAAATATCCCCAGAGTAAATTGAAAAACAATCTCTAACTGGATTCTGTCTGTAAGAGACACATATATAGTAAAATGATACAAAAAGTTTGAAAATCTAATATCATTAAACATATACCAAGCAAAAGAAGGAAGAAATCATGATTAATGTTATTCATGGTTAAATTCAAGATACAAAAGCTTTTAACATGATAGAGATGAACACTTAATAATGTAAAAGTACAATCCACAATGGAGATTTATTATGAATATTTCTGCTCTCTAGCAGCACCAAATAAATAAAGAAATAAAGATGGCAACAGATACAAGAAATAGGCATAAGCACTTAACAGATTAATTGGAGAAAGACCACCAAGGATAAAATTCATGTAATTCATAGAACTGAGTTAAGAGGTACATTTCATATTCTATATCTGGAAATAGAAAACATATTTTCATTTCAAGTATCTGTGAGACATCTACAAAAGTTTTCAAGTGCCCGTGGAGGTTTATAGAAGTCTTTAATGCCACAATTAAGAGATAATACATTACAAATTTAAAAAATAGTACACAATTTCTACTTACAGTGAAATAAAGGTATGTTAAAAAAAAGAAAAAAAGAAAAATCCCAAACATTTGAGAAAATTTTTTAACATTCTCCTAAGTAATTTCTGGGGTAACCAGAAATAAAAACTCACCAGTAGAGTATGACTTTTAAAATGCTATGTATTTAAATATGGAATCTGGTAAAAGCAATACTTAGAGGAAATTTCACAGATCTATGAAAATTATAAAGCAAGAAATAATAATACTAAATGAATCAAACATCTAACTCAAGTACAGGGGGAAATGGAAAGACAGAAGAAGAAAAGTCGAAGAAAAGATTTGACTACATTAAAAACAAACTCAGGAATCAATATATTACATCATAAGGTAATTTCCTCAGTAACTTTTATTTTTTAAAAATATGCTATATAAAATTAATTTAAAACAATTAGCTAGCCTAATTAACAACAAAAAGGGAGTAGGGCAAAACATAAATATAGAAAATAAGTATAAGAAGTAGACACTATCCAAAAATGTAAAGGAAAATGTATTATAATTTTAAAATTACCATGTAAAACTCATGGCAATATATGTAAAACTAATGTAATGTGTCTAGAAACACATATATTACCAAAATTAATCCAAGAAGAAACAATATCAATGAAAGACTAGCAAACAGTCAAATAGCCAACCTAATCACCAAAACATCTTAAGTGACATTAAGGAATCAGTAAATCAGATGCTTTTTAAACTGGTCTAAAGTCTCAAGCACAAGATTGTTACCAATGTATTTCCAAATCCAGTGTGACACAGATTACAGAGCTTAGTCCACAATAAATACTAGTAAAAAGCAGAAAAATGTCACTTAGAAATATTGAGGCAGAAATTCAAAATAAAATCCAGGAGCTCATTAAACAAATATCCCTCCAAGATCAAGTAGGGTTGACTGAGAAAAGTCAATTTCAATACAGGAAAATCTATCAACACTCCACTATATTAAAATGTCAAAAAAGAAAATAATAATTTTATCAGTACCAAAGAGGCTGAAGAGCACTTGATGCAATTCAAGATAAACTCAGTGTTATACTTAATGATGAAACATTAGAAAAATTAAAGTAAAAAACCAGACAAGGATTATCACTGGTAGTTAGCATTGTTGTGGAAATGCTAGCCAATGCATTTGTACAAGAAAACAAAGTAAGAGAAACAACTACTAGAAAAGAGGAGATAAAGTTTTCAAAATTTACAAATAAGGTAAATTATCTAGGCGTGGGCCCAAGTGAATAACACTTTCATTTTCTACTTAATGATGTGAAAAATTTTCAACAAATTTCAACACGTTAAACATTTAAAAATAATCATCAAATGTAAAACAACTGGGGTGACTGATAAAGTACTAGTTATCAATAAACTCAACTTTCTTATTTCAGATTACTAAGAATGTTGACTCTTCTGCTGACAATGACATTCTTTTTTTCCACCCTGTCTGGGATTCTTGAATGACTACTTCTAAATCAATAACCTCAGACAATCCATATTCAGTGATTTTAGAAACTCCAGCCTTAAGGTTATGAAGATAATTTTTGGTGATTATATCTTTATATCATCAATTCTCAATCAACACATTGCTCTACCCATACCTTTAAAGGAAAAGCAGGGATCTCTGTTATCACGGCAGAAGGGAGGCAGGAATAGATTGTAGCTCCAGGCAGAGCAGCATGCGGAGGCTTGCATTGTGAATTTTAGCTCCAGATTGACTGCAAGAACAAACCAGCAATCCCAAGAGGACCCCACAGGCCCTCTGAAAAGAGCAGACTGCTCCTGCAGGACCCAGGAGACACTGCAAATACTGTGAGTGCCCCAGCTGCAGAAATGGGAAAGGGAGACCCTCCTCTCCCAAACACACACCCCCCACTGGAGAAGCTGAAGGTCTGTTTGCAGAAGTTTCCGACTTTACCTGGAGCTGAGTCAAGTTAGAGAGCCAAGTGAAATACAGGGGTAGAGGAAGCAGCAGGAAGGCCCTGGGATCTCACTGGGTCCCCAAGCGGCCCATTCCTGCCTGGCATCACAGGGATCCATTGGGAGGGTGGCCAGAGGAGCAGGGGGTAAAACTCCACAGGGAGAAGGAACTCTGTAGCTGAACTTTGTAACAATTTAAACGTGGTGAGAAGCCTCCTGGCCAGAACTCCGGGGAGGGCATAAATCCGGCGTGCAGACTACACAGGTGTGGAAGAACTAAAACTCTTTTTTCTCGCAGCTGGGAGGTGCGTAGCCTCAGAGAAATTTTCAAGCCCATCTCGCCCTCCACCTGGAAACAGACTCGGGGCTGTTGCGGGGGTCACGGTGAGAGTGAGACCAGCCCTTCATGACTGCTGGCTTTCCCCCACTTCCCTGACAACCTGTACGACTCAGCAGAGGCAGCCATAATCCTCCTAGGTACACAACTCCAGTGACCTGGGAATCTCACCCTCATCTCCCACAGCAGCCGCAGCAAGACCTGCCCAAGGAGAGTCTAAGCTCAGACACATCTCTCCCCACCCTACCTGATGGTCCTTCCCTACCCACCCTAGTAGTGGAAGACAAAGGGCATATAATCTTGGGGATTCTAGGGCCCCGCCCACCTCTGGTCTCTCTCCACACTACTATAGCTGACAGTTTTTAGAAAGTGCCACCTCCTGGCAGGAGGCCAATGAGCACAAAAATAGACCATTAAATCACCAAAGCTAAGGACCCTCAGAGAGTCCATTGCACACTCTGCCACCTCCACCAGAACAGGTGCTGGTATCCATGGCTGAGAGACCCCTTAGACAATTCACATCACAGGACTCTGTGCAGAAACCCCCAACCAGCCTGTTGCTGGGTGGACTCGCTGGGTAGCTAGACCCAGAAGAGAGATAACAATCACTGAAGTTTGGCTCATAGGAAGCCACATCCATAGGAAAAGGGGGAGAGTACTACACATCAAGGGAACACCCCTTGGGACAAAAGAATCTGAACAACAGTCTTCAGCCATAGACCTTCCCTCTGACAGAGCCTACCCAAATGAGAAGAAACCAGAAAACCAACCCTGGTAATATGACAAAACAAGGCTCTTCAACACCCCCCCACAAAAAAATCACACTAGTTCACCAGCAATGGATCCAAACCAAGAAGAAATCCCTGATTTATCTGAAAAAGAATTCAGGAGGTTAGTTATTAAGCTAATCAGGGCGAGACCAGAGAAAGGTAAAGCCCAATGCAAGGAAGTCCAAAAAATGATACAAGAAGAGAAGGGAGAGATATTCATGGAAACAGATAGCTTAAAGAAAAAAAACAATCAAAAATTCAGAAAACTTTGGACACACTTTTAGAAATGCAAAATGCTCTGTAAAGTCTCAGCAGAAGAAAGAAATTCAGAGCTTGAAGATAAGGTCTTCAAATTAACCCAATCCAACAAAGACAAAGAAAAAGAATAAGAAAATATGAACAAAACATCCAAGAAGTCTGGGGTTATGCTAAATGACCAAACCTAAGAATAATCAGTGTACCTGAGGAAGAAGAGAATTCTGAAAGCCTAGAAAACATATCGGGGGGAATAATTGAGGAAAACTTCCCCAGCCTTGTGAGAGACCTAGACAGCCAAATATAGGAAGCACAAAGAACACCTGGGAAATTCATTGCAAAAAGATCTTCACCTAGGCACACTGTCATCAAGTTATCCAAAGTTAAGACAAAGGAAAGAATCTTAAGAGCTGTGAGACAGAAGCACCAGGTAACCTATAAAGGAAAACCTATCAGATTAACAGAAGATTTCTCAGCAGAAACCCTACAAGCTAGAAGGGATTGGGGACCTATCTTCACTCTCCTCAAACAAAACAATTATCAGCAAAGAATTTTGTATCCCCCAAAACTAAGCATAATATATGAAGGAAAGATACACTTGTTTTCAGACAAACAAATGCTGGGAGAATTCGCCATTACCAAACCACCACTACGAGAACTGCTAAAAGGAACTCTAAATCTTAAACCCTGGAAACACATCAAAACAGAATCTCTTTAAAACATAAATCACACAGGACCTATAAAACAAAAATACAAGTTAAAAAACAAAAACAAAAAACCAAAGTACACAGGCAACAATGAGCATGATGAAAGCAATGGTACCTCACATTTCAATACTGATATTGAATGTAAATGGCCTAAATGCTCCACTTAAAAGATACAGAACCACAGAATATATAAGAAGTCACCAACCAACTATCTGCTGCCTTCAGGAGACTCAACTAACACATAAGGACTTACATAAATTTAAAGGGGTGGAAAAAGGCATTTCATGCAAATGGACACCAAAAGTGAGCAGGGGTAACTATTCTTATATCAGACAAAACAAACTTTAAAGCAACAGTGGTTAAAGGAGACAAAGAGGGACAGTATACAATGGTAAAAGGCCTTGTCTAACAGGAAAATATCACAATTGTGAACATATATGCACCTAACACTGCAGCTCCCAAATTTATAAAATAATTACTAATAGACCTAAGAAATGAGATAACAACACAATAATAGTGGGGGCTTCAATATTACACTGACAGTACTAGACAGGTCATCAAGATAGGAAGTCAACAAAGAAACAGTGGATTTAAACTATACCTTGGAACAAATGGACTTAACAGATATATACAAAACACTTCATCCAACAACTGCAGAATACACATTCCATTCACCAGCACATGGAATGTTCTCCAAGATAGACCATATGATAGGCCACAAAATGAGCCTCAATAAATTTCAGAAAATTAAAATTATTTTAAGCACTCTCTCAGACCACAGTGGAATAAAACTGGAAAGCAATTCCAAAAGGAACCTTCCAAACCATGAAAATACATGGAAATTAAATAATCTGGTCCTGAATGAACATTGGGTCAAAAATGACATCAAGATGGAAATTTAAAAATTCTTCGAACTTAATGACACAACCTATCAAAACCTCTGGGACAAAGCAAAGGTGGTGCTAAGAGGAAAATTCATAGCTCTAAATGCCTACATCTACATCAAAAAGTCTGAAAGGGCACAAACAGACAATCTAAGGTCACACCTCAAGGAAACAGATAAATAAGAATAAACCAAACCCAAACCCAGCAGAAGGGAGGAAATAACCAAGATCAGGGCAAAACTAAATGAAATTCAAACAAACAAACAAAAAAAACACAAAAGATAAATGAAACAAAAGCTGGTTCTTTGAGAAGATAAATAAAATTGATAGACCATTAGCAAAATTAACCAAGAAAAGAAGAGAGAAAATCCAAATAACCTCACTAAGAAACAAAACAGGTGATATTACATCTGATACCACAGAAATACAAAAAGATCATTCAAGGTTACTATGAACATCTTTATGCACATAAACTAGAAAACCTAGGAGAGATGGATAAATTCCTGGAAAAATACAACCCTCCCAGCTTAAATCAGGAAGAATTAGGTACCCTGAACAGACCAATAACAAGCAGTGAGATTGAAATGATAAATTAAAAAATTACCAACAAAAAAAGTCCAGGACCAGATGGATTCACAGCAGAATTCTACGAGACATTCAAAAAAGAATTTGTACCAGTCCTTTTGACACTATTCCACAAGACAGAGAGAGAGAGAGAACCCTCCCTAATTCATTCTATGAATCCAGCAGCACTCTAATACCAAAACCAGGAAACGACATAACCACAGAAGAAAACTACAGACCAATATCCTTGATGAATATAGATGCTAAAATCCTTAACAAAATACTAGCTAACCAAATTCAACAACATATCAAAAAGATAATCCACCATGATCAAGTGGGTTTCATACCAGGGATGCAGGGATGGTTTAACATACATGAGTCAATAAATGTGATACACCACATAAACAGAATTAAAAATAAAAAATCACATGATCATCTCAATAGAGGCAGAAAAAGCATTCGACAAAATCCAGCATCCCTTTATGATTAAAACGCTTGGCAAAATCAGCATACGAGAGACATACCTTAATGTAATAAAAGCCATCTATGACAAACCCACAGCCAGCATAATACTGAATGGGGAAAGTTGAAAGCTCTCCCTCTGAGAACTGGAACAAGACAAGGATGTCCACTCTCACCACTCCACTTCAACACAGTGTTGAAAGTTCTAGCGAGAGCAATCAGACAATAGAAAGAAATAAAAGGCATCCAAATCGGTAAAGAGGAAGCCAAACTGTCACTGTTTGTTTGCTGACAATAGGATTGTTTACCTTGAAAACCCTAAGAACTCCTCCAGAAATCTCCTAGAACTGATAAAAGAATTCAGCAAAGTTTCTAGATACAGCATTAATGTACACAAATTAGCTCTTCTGGACACCAACAGCAGCCAAGCAGAGAATCAAATCAAGAACTCAACCCCTTTTACAATAGCTGCAAAAAATAAAATAAGTACTTAGGAATATACCTAACCAAGGAGGCAAAACACCCCTACAAGGAAAACTAGAAAACATTGCTGAAAGAAATTATAGATGACACAAACAAAAGGAAACACATCCCATGCTCATGGATGGGTAGAATCAATATTGTGAAAATGACCATACTGCCAAAAGCAATGTACAAATTCAATGCAATCTCCGTCAGAATACCACCATCATTCTTCACAGAATTAGAAAAAACAATTCTAAAATTCATATGGAACCAAAAAATAGCCCACATAGCCAAAGGAAGACTAAGCAAAAGAACAAATCTAGAGGCATCACACTACCTGATTTCAAACTATACTGTAAGGGCATAGTCACCAAAACAGCATGGTACTGGTATAAAAATAGGCACGTATACCAGTGGAAGAGAATAGAGAACCCAGAAATAATCCCAAATACTTACAGCCAACTGATCTTCAACAAAGCAAACAAAAACATAAAGTGGGGAAAGAACATCCTTTTCAACAAATGGTTGAAATTTGTTGAAATTATCCAATTAGCCAATTACTGGGATAACTGGTTAGCCACTTGTAGGAGAATGAAACTGGATCATCTCTTACTTTATACAAAAATCAACTCAAGATGGATTAAAGACTTAAATCTAAGACCTGAAACTATAAAAATTTTAGAAGATAACATTGGAAAAATCCTTCTAGACATTGGCTTATGCAAAGATTTCATGACCAAGAAGCCAAAAGGAAGTGCAATACAAACAAAGATAAATCGCTGGGACCTAATTAAAGTAAAGAGCTTTTGCACAGCAAAAGGAAGAGTCAGCAAAGTAAACAGACAACCCACAGAGTAGGAGAAAAATCATCCACAATCTATACATCTGGCAAAAGACTAATATCCAGAAACTACAACAAATTCAAACAAATCAGTAAGAAAACAACAATCCCATCAAAAAGTAGGTGAAGGACATGAATAGCCAATTCTCAAAAGAAGAGATACAAATGGCCAACAAACATGAAAAAATGCTCAACATCACTAATGATCAGGGAAATGCAAATTAAAACCACAATGCAATGCCATCTTACTCCTGCAAGAATGGCCATAATCAAAAAATCAAAAAACAGTAGATGTTGGCATGGATGCGGTGAACAGAGAACACTTCTACACTGCTGGTGGGAACTAAACTAGTACAACCACTGTGGAAAACAGTGTAACAGTGTGGAGATCCTTAAAGAGCTAAAAGTAGAACTACCATTTGATCCAGCAATCCCACTACTGGGTATCTACCCAGAGGAAATGAAGTCATTATTCGAAAAAGATACTTGCACACCCATGTTTATAGCAGCACAATTCACAATTGCAAAATCTTGGAACCAACCCAGATGCCCATCAATCAACGAGTGGATTAAAAAACTGTGAGATACACACACACACACACACACACACACACACACACACACACACACACACACGATGGAATACTATGCAGCCATAAAAAGGAATGAATTAACAGCATTTGCAGTGACCTGGATAAGACTGGAGACTATTATTCTAAGTGATTAACTCAGGAATGGAAAACCAAACATCGTATGTTCTCACTGATATTTGGGAGCTAAGCTATGAAGACACAAAGGCATAAAAACAATACAATGGACTTTGGGGACTTGGGGGGAAGAGTGGGAGGGGGGCAAGAGATAAAAGACTACAAATATGGTGCAGTGTATATGTGGGTGATGGGTGCACCAAAATGTCACACGTCACCACTAAAGAACTTACTCATGTAACCAAATGCCACCTGTACCCCAATAACTTATGGAAAAGTAAAACAATTAAATAAAATTAAAATTAAAAAAAAAGAAAAGCCACACTATCTCCTCCTAAAGGAATTTAAGCAGGTGGAGGGAAACCTGAGAATGAGCTGTTGTTATGCAACCCAGTCCTTTGCCTTTCCCACATAACCATCTGAAAAAAATGTCAACTCTGGAACAATCTTAAATGAGTGTTTTCTCCCAAATTCTTTTTGCATATCCTCAGATTGGTGTCCCTGCAAATTCATGGTCTCAACTCCACCCAGTAATCTGATGTTCACATAGTTAAGTCTGTCTCCCATTGCTCACTGTGTCTAACTGAGAAGAGGAGGAGGATTCCATTTTCTCTCAGGGTTTCCCTTCCTCATCTGCACAGACACCTATCTTTTCTCTCTTATCCTCGTGCCACAATGGAAGTGGCGCTCCCATGTCCCATCATCTAAGGCTGATTCCTTAACTTGAGCTCTTGAGTCAGTCCTCACTGCCTCATCTGCGAGATGGTCTGATAGTTATCCTTTCTGCATTTTCAATTTATCTTTGACTACTAGCTAAGTCATCCCCACCTTAAACTCTCACCCATCTAGGGGAGAAAACACACATGCATGCATGCACACACCCCCCCCCCCCCACACACACACACATACACACACATTCTCTCTCTCTCTCTCTCTCTCCATGTCCCTCTGGCCTAACTTCTTCTCTAGGGAAATTATAGGTAAGAGTCAAAGAGGCCTGAGGTTGAATCCCGACTCTATGATTTATTAGCTACATGAATCCTTGACAAACTATTTAAATTCTCCAAACCTCTGTTTCCTCATCCATACCAAGTAATCCATATATCACAGGGTTGTGTAGAATAATCTGGATAAGGAACATAAAGCATTTGGCATAGTTTCTGGCATATACAAAAACTTAACTACAATTGCCATTGTTATCATTAATTCCTCCTTTTCACAAACTGCTTTCATGTTCCTTACTTCTCCTTCAGTCTTCTACATCTGGCTTTTGTAACTCTGATTCTGCTAAACCAAATTCATCATGGTCAGCAACAACCTTCTTAGGAGCAATAATAGGATACTTTTGCTTCTAAACCATACAAAACCATTGTTTCTGTACCATTCTCCATCATGGCAAACTCTTCCTCCAAATAACTCCCTTTCCTGGACACCTATGACTCTCTCCACCCTGACCTCCTCCCCCAGCACCACCAATTTGTATTCATCCCTCAATCTCAACTTACAGGAGGGTTTCTCAAACTCGGGGTGCTATTCCCATTTGAAGCCTGATAATTATTGTGAGAGGCTGTCCTGGGCATTGTAGGATATTTAGCAGTATCCCTGACATCCCCACTAGATGCTGGTAGCATCTTCCCTCATCCCCAGTAGTGACAACCAACAGTGCTTCAACTGTCTCTCTGGAGACACTACCAAATGACCCCCCCTCCACCTCCAGAAGGGTTAGCACAAAATCATACCCAATTGAGTACCACTTTCTCTAGAAGGCCTTTCCTGGCACCTCAAGGCTGGGGTAGACCCTTCCTAGGGACCCCTGAATCTCCCAAACATTTTCACACAGCACCATCCACTTAGTTGTCTCTTTCCCCACAGCGCATTGTGAGTTTCTTGAAAGCAGGGACTGTGTTCTGTTCTGTTCAAACCCATCTCCAGGCAGAGTCCAGAACCCATACATTGTTCTTCCTCTATTTGGAGTTCTTCCTCCAAATGTTATTATAAGACTTAGTTTAATAACAAAGTTTCAAGAGAGGACTCCATGCACATTAAATATAAACTGATGATAACATGCATCCCTTTTGAGAAATGTATAAATGTGGGGAAAAGTGCAACTTAGCACTGACGAAATAAGGAATTACACATTTGCTAATGCTGAGGAACTGCAAGGCTGTATGTTTGTAGGGGGAGGGAGAGGGCTGGTGGAGAAGCTGAGGATCAGAATTAGAGCACGGCTTTAGCCTCAGTCCCATATGGCCATGAGCTAGGGACTGGCTTGTGGCTGGAGGCGAATCCATGGATCAGCAGGGCCCTGCTGCTGGCCTCTTTCCCTCTCTATTCTCCTTCCCTAATCTCAATGCCATCCTTGTCTTAAGACTGTCTAGCAGATCTGGCATTTTCAAACTTAAGGATACTTCTACCTTTGTCTTCCTTTTCTCATATCCTTGTGCATATTATATTACTGTGCTCCTTATTCTGTCCCTGCCTCTGGCAATGAACTTCAGACAAAGAGGAGTGCCCTTACAAAACATAATTTTTACTCATAAAACATTACTACATTCCAGAAGACTGGTGTATTTAGGGGATGAGAAGCATCACAACTGAAAAGAACTGGTCTCCAAATAGTTTATTTCCATGGAATTACTAAAAAAAAAAAGTAAGTCTTCAAAGATCGACATATTAAAGTAGAATGAGGTCACTGATGGCAAAAGTTCAACAGTGTAGACAAAGTTATCTTGTCACCAAAGCTAAGAACCCCAGGCATCTAGTTCTTTTTCCTGCATACCAAAACCTGTACTAAGGGAATTCTTAGGGGAAGTGTTCTTTCATGTTTATAGTTAAGTGAAAAAATAAGTTGCAAAACATAATACATAATCTGTTTCTACTCAAATACTGATAATAATAATATGATGCAAATATATAAATATAGAAAAATGACCAGAAGCCATATACCCTAAACTTTTACTGGTGAAGTTTTCTCTGAAAGGGAGGTTGAAAAGAAGTTTTACTTTTTCTGAATTCCAACTTCTATAATGTTTGTGTGATTTTTATTAGTATGTGGGTTTCACAAGTTGGAATTTTTGTCTGTTTGTTTAAATGTTTTCAGAGAAATCAGAAAACAAATTAAATAGTTTCTCTCAAAAAATCCCCAGGTTCATGAATGGTTGGCCAACAAGTCAGCCCACATTTTAGGGAATGTGTGGGTGTGTGATCACTTTGGTGTTTAAATACTTAATATGAATCCACAAAATAATGTTGGCACGTGAAGAAAAGAGGCACAGCCAAGACTGACCACAGAACATTAACTGCCTATTAGCAAGTGGACCAAATGTCAATGCCTTGTGATCTGTCTTCATAAACTTCAGACAGGAGCAGGTGTATCCTATACAAGAGACAGCAAGGTTTAGCAGAAACACATATTTGAACAAAATATTTCATCAATCAGTCGACCTCACTGATCTAATGTTCAATTTCGTTCTAGGAGGCCCTAAGGAGGACACAGGTTCTGTCCTCAGGGGATTATATACTTTACCTTCTATCCCCCAAACACAAATAAACATCTTAAATGTCACTCCAGGAAATATTAGAAGCAATATAACCCATTACCTTCTGGAGCTATATGGACTACTAGCCATGACCACCTCATCCTGCAACCGAGATTAGGTGGGAAATCTGAGACGCCATGAGGTTGAGTCTGGCTTAGAAGTGTCCTGTCATTGCTAAGGTCCACTCTACCTCACATCTAGACTGGTGAAGAGGGAATCATTGATCTGAAGCTCTCTGCCCTCATTTTTTAAAAAAATCATTTTCGATTGAGCCAAAAACAAATATTTATTGACCAGCTGCCACATGCCAGCACCATCCACTAACTAAACATTTGAGTGCCTACTACGTAGCTAGTATGGTTCTAGACGTGAGAGAAAAACAAAAACAATGAGGGGGACAGAAGGCTGGTATAAGGCATGTTCTTTCTCATGGAAGTTAAAAATATAGTTGGGATGAGACTAACATTAAAAAAATCAGACAATGAAGAATTCCAAACACTCTATAATAAGGCATAGATTGTTATGGTACAGTTTCCAAGTAAAGAGATGGAGAGGGCAGTTATGATTAGACCATTGGGAAAGAAAAGGACATGATTTAAGGCTAGAAAGGGCGGGTTAGATAATGAATGTTCTTGTTTTTTTTGCATTGCATTTCTTCTCATAAGTAAATAAAACCAGGATGTAGAGGGGAGGTGAACATCATAACCAGACTGAATGGTTTGTCTATGAATAATTCCATGAACATATGTAAGAAAGAAGAACCCAATACATATTCCCACCCCCAAAAAGATGGCATTACAGGAGTTCCAAGTTTTTGTTTCCATGAATGTTCTTGAAAGCTAGCAATCAGCACAGGTCACTAGAACTAACATAGGTTTTAGCAAAGAAAGACAACAGGACCTCCAACTTCCTGACCTGTATAATGGGACTAAAAAATATCCATTTCATAGGGATTAAATAACGTAAGATCTATCCAGTTTCAAATGTCAGAGCCTTCCCTCCCTCCCTTCATTCGGACAGAAACAGGGATCTCTTATCATCCTTAATCAGGGCAATGTGATATAACGAAAGCTGTGCCCTATCAAGATTATTTTGCTAGCATCATGAGGGACTCCTAGAGGTGAAGAGGATGGTGGGAAACAGGCTGCTAAGCAGCTGCTGAGATGGTCCAGGGAAGAGATAAAGGAAGCCTGGGCCAGACGACGCACTGGGGATGAAGAGGAGGGGTCAAGCCTACATGATATTTAGAAGGGAGCACGGGCAGAAGCTAATGCTTGGTGCACTCTGTCTAATAACCAGGTCACCACTTTCTGACCCATCCAGAGTTAACTAATGAGCTGTGGTCTAAGCTCAATTTTTTCTAACATATGTCAAGAACAGTCTACTCTTTGGTAATAAATGGAAAATGATACTTTTAACTGAATTTTAAAAGAACAGTGCCAATAAAGGTATGGAATATTATCCAAGAAGCAACAGACCTTAGGTTGGAATAGTTTAAACAAAGGGTACTCAGAAGCAGTGCATCAACCTATGCTAATGGTATTCCCATAAATTTCCTATTTAACTAGAGAGCAAGGAAATTACCTAGACCAGCAGCGTCAGATTAAAAAATCATGCCAGCCATGTATGTAATTTTAAATTTTCTAGCAGCTAGAAACAAGTGTAGTTAACTTCAATAACACAGTCCACATAGCCTAATATATCCAAAAATATTATCTTAATATTTTTATATTTATCAATAGAAAACTTACAATATTTATCAATATAAAACTTACTAATGAGATATTTCATCCTTTTTTTCTAATAAGCTTCAAAATTCAGTTTATTTTAGACTTACAGCACCATATCCATTTGGATCAGGCACTGTTTCAAGGGCTGTTTCACTGTTTCAAGTGCTCAACAGCCACCTGTGGCTCAGGGCTACCACACTGGACAGCACAGACCTAGAAAACCTTGAAGGATTCCTTTGAACAAAGTACTTATTTAAGAGTTTTCATTGGTACTCACCTTGAGGTAGTTACCTAATGCAGCTGAACATCTGGAGTGAGAGATTTAAAAAGCTAATCTAATCACATCTGTTGTCATGCTTACAACCCTGTAATACCTTTACATTTTCCTTAAGATAAAGACTAAAGAGTTAGAGATCCCTCCCGCATAAAAATGAAAAGTCTGTTATATCGTGTTATGGAAGACTGAACTAATATCTTTATATCTTCTCTCTGTAATAGAGATACAAAGTTCTTTCTTAAAGCAGCATGTCTCTACTACCTACACTGTCAAACTGATCATTTACAGAATGCACCAACCCCAGAGCTGAGCCAGCTCAAAAAAACCTTCAGCCAACAAGGGTTGTTTTGAACCTCGGCCTAGCAGCACCCAGTATGGCAGTGAGGAGCATGGGCTTGCAGCCCACCTACCGGTTTAAATCCAGTCTTTATCAATTAACAATGGTCAGATCTTGCTTGGCAAGTTGTATAACCTCTCTCTGCTTCCATTTCCTCACTGTAGAAAGTGTAAAGATGGTACTATTTCATAGGATTATAACAAGGATTAAATGAGGAAATACTAAAAGTCAGTTTGCACATAGTCTGTTGCCAGTAATTCCTAGCCATATATTTTCATGGACTTCTCTAGTCCTCCAGAAATGTCAGGATCACATTTCTCAATAATCTCAAAGAGGTTTGTAGGCAGCACTTCACAATGCATAGAGCGCAACTGACCTGCGTTCACATCCCAGTTTTTTGACACCTACCACGTAGTACAAGTGTGCAAGTTACTTAACCTGTCTAAAGCCTCTGTTTTCTCATATGCTAAATAGAAATAACAATAAAATTACATCCACTGCACAACAATATAGTGAGGATTAAATGAGACAACAGAAATAGCAGGGAATCTGACTCTTAGAAAATATAGTTCCTGCCGTCTCCTGAGTACTGTTAGCATTACCCCTTTCCCTCTCCATCAGAGCCTGTTGCTTTCGACATATTAGTTTGGGGATGAGTTAGGAGATATCGCTTCGAGTGCGGTTAAGACAAATGGAAACAATTATGATAGTACTGTTTACAAGTTCCATGGGCATTTGTTATATTACCAAATATTTACCATGTCCTTTATCATCACTAAAATCCATCCTGCAAAAGCCATAGCAAGCCATCTCAGCAACTGACTCCAAGGACTACTCTATGAAAAGGATGGTGATTTCCTTCCATGATGATACATTCTCACAAGGTTAGAGGATGTCCCCTGAATATCCCCAACTTCCTTTAAAAGACTACAAAGCATTTGTCATTTGTGGGTGAGTCATCCATGGTGTACTGGAAAGGGCTGGTCAGAAGACAAGGTTTGGGTCTCTGTCCTGGCAATCAACCAGCTATGATTTTGGGGAAGTTGCTTGACCTCTGTGGGTCTCAGAGAGCACATCTGCTTCTTGGCATCGTGTTGTGAAGAACACATTTATATAATGTATACTGAAAGCCATGGTCTGATTTCTAAAGAGCTCTGCAAATCAATGTAAGGCAAGGATTTGTCTAAAGTTGACGTCCACACTTTTATGTTTTGGTAGTATATTTCAGGAATTTGCTCTGAGATATAGAAGGGGGCTCTTGTTTTATGTCACCTGTGTCATCTTCCCCCTAGTTCCAAAGTCAGTAACTGGAGATCCAGACCTCTGACTGTGAGAGCAGGAATGGGATGAGGCAAAGGCGAGAAGCCTGGGGCCAGGGTGACTCACAGCTGTGGAATCCATTAAGGGTGAAAGGCTCTCTGCATTCCTCCTCCATGTCAAGTCTCTGGGTTAGCAAGGTACAGATGACGGAGGAAACAGGCCTATTTCTTTGCAGACTAAATATTATTCATCTATGCATAACATGTGTGTGTGTGTGTGTGTGTGCGTGTGTGTGTGCATGTGTGTGTGTGTGAGTATATGCCTCCAAATATGAAGGCGAAGATCTAAGCAAATTATTCTTCTGTTAAACTATATAAAACCAGAAACTGACTTGATGCAGTTGTCTTCTTTTCCACTGCCTTGGAGTTTGGCAAATTGAACCCCACAAATCCTTAGATACGGTAAAAATTTTCAATAAAAAATGTTAAGTGAGAAGAACTCTTAGATGAGCCATGGAAATTCTCCAACACTGTGAGACCCTGAGATTGTGGTGTTATTGAGTGGGGCATGGGGATGTGCAGGTTGTGTGACAAGTTTGATGATGCCTAAAAATATTTTTAATGGTAAAAACCTAAAGCAAATAAAGCCTGCATGATATGCTTACGTATATAGCTACCTAATCTTCTGAGTTGCACTTTCGTTAAATGGATGCCAGGATTATTATAGAACAAAAGGAAAGGACCTCAGAGGGAACATTCCAAATACCTTGTACTTGGATTTTCTCACAGCTGTAGTTATTAAAACTCTATTAAACCAGCTGCTAATAATTTTCAAATGGTCCATTAGTTCTACCAATGACCTTGGGCCACCACCAATTTTAGACCTAGTCTTCATGTCTTAATCAACAGCCTCAAATGGAATCCCCTGCTCTTTCAATAGAGAAATACATTTAAAAGAAAGATTGTTGATTGCATAGGTTATTTGTCATTAGGGAATTTGTATAATATGGAATTTAACCTAAGAACCCCAATCCTCCTGAAAGGAAAATGGTTCTTCTGAGATTTCTCTCTCTAAAGCAAGGTGAAAGCTAAACATTATTATTATTATTTTCCTTGTTTAACAGAATAGAATGCATGGATGGGTCTCTCAGGACTCTTGGGAAAAAACTCTCTTGAATATGCTTGATCAACAATGGGAACCCATCCAGAGGGGGGAACAAAAAGCCAGGAAAACATACTCTAAGCTACTTCAGATAAATATCAAGAAACGTCACCTTTTCTATAATCAAGGGTGTGGAGAGGGGAAGAACTTGCAAAAGTGATTTCACGTTCAGATGTGATTTATTAATGGTACTAATGATAATTCAAAGAGAAATCAACACCATGAAAACAAGAATGCCAAGACTAAAAGGAATGTCCTTTTCTTAGGCTTGGAACCAAAAATATTTTTCTCTCTCGTGACCATCTTAACTTCAAAAGCAGAAGCAAGGAATGTCAATCCGTATGGAGCTCCTCTGGCCACTTACTATGTTTCCATTCTTTCCACAGAGAAGGGGAGAGGCAGCCTATTGTATGTCTCCGCCAACAAGATGAGAAAAAAAAATCACTTGTTTTTAAACTTTCAGAGGACACAGATAACTCAGGGGGAAAACAAAGAAAACGCAGACATGAATAAAAATTATTTTGGAATTAAATATTAGATTTTAAAAATCAAGAAAGTCTAAGAATTCAAGACATGTTCAGAATTCCTAATGGCAAAAAGCATGAGCTTCAAGGTTTGTGTACCAGGGAAATGCATTTTTCTTTTTTGTCTCTTGTTGTTATTTATTCAGTACTTTTGTTCCAGGAAGAACTCTTCTTCATTACTGTAAATATACCAAACAATCTCCCATTTCCTAGAAATCAATCATCTCCTTTTTCAGCCGGTGTATTTTCTGTTCCACCTCTGACTTTTTTACTAAATTAGCTAAAAATCTCCTTGATTTCCTGTACTAGCCATACGATTTTTCCAAAAAAGAAAAAGACTATCTTATTCTTTACTCAACCAGAAAGGTACAAAGAAAACCATCAGATTTTAAGGATGCCATTTAGTCTTCAAGAATAAAAGTGAGAAAGTTGCTTGGGTCATCTCTTTGTTCACTATTGCTGGCAAGATTCCAGGCAAGAGTATGTGGTAATCTCATGATAATTGAACAACATAGTCTACTATGCACTCCCTACGATGCAATATTGTTTCATGTCACAGCATGATGCGAGTGACATGAGCCTTAGAGCAGAGGACAAAGGCAGGGAATGACCTCCAAAATTCCATATCAGAGCATATGCCCTCTGACCCTAGGTACATTTGGCTAACCTGAGACATTTACCCATATTACGAAGGTAAGCCTAAGTGCATCATCATTGTTGAGTGGGGACAAGCTTCAAATGTTTCTCACTACAAATGGAGTTGAGCCTAACTACATCATCCAAGTGTAAAACCATGTTTGTGGACACAGAGAAAGAACTGCAGGTGTGTGGATATGATATTTGATTAAGTGGCTTCAAGTGCTAGATTTTTGTATGCCCAAAAAGGACTCCAGAAGGAAATGAAGGAATTCTCCCGACAATGTTTAATTAACTCCAAACCAAGAGACCAGAAGATCACCAGTGTTCCCGGAAGGGGCACTGCATGTGTTGCCGGGTTGACTGAAATTCTTGAGGTCCACACACACAAATGATTGTGGAACATAGGCTGACAACAGAATTGAAGAGTGAGGCCATACACAGCTCAGTCAAGGCCACGAAATTCTCACATATAGTTTTTATTGCCAAAAGAGCTAAATGCCACCACTAGATTTTACAAACTTTTAGGCAGAATATATACAATGATGTATGCCTAGTCTAAGAATCCTGTGGGTATGTTAACTGGATGGCAGCCGGAAAGTAAGGTGGAGTCAAGCTCTACACTAGAGCATAAAACAAAGAAATGGTCACACCTATTAGTTGGCCTGGATATGTGTAAGTATCAATGCCACTGTAGCTTCTTAAGGCAGTTACCCTGCACTCTAATCACCTGGGTAAGCCAATATGTCTGAAAGAATGGATAACAAGAAAGATATCCAAATAGCTTTATTTGGGGGAGTTGATCGTCAGCAAATAAAGATAGTACATAAGCCAAATAAAATGCATTAAAACGCACCACTTCTAGTGGTGGTGGTAATGTGTTAGACCTGTTGACAACTGGAGATGTAAATACTAGATTATGAGCCTCTGAAAGGCAGGGTCTAGGTCTTTCATTTCTGTAGAGCCAACATTTAGCACAAAGCCTGGGAAGCAGTCAAATGCTCAGTAAGTATTTAAATGAATGAACAAATGAATGAAAAAGAGTAAAAAACAAGTAAGCCCACGGTCCAGCATTCAGTAACAGGAAAACAGGCTGTTTCTTTTCAACTAACCAAGGAAAGTGTGAGCGGGGAAAGGCTGTGTAAACACCAATGGCAGCCACAAATCAAAGAGCAGAGCAGGGGGAATCACAGTCTGACAAAGAGAGTTCTCCAGCCCTGTTCCCTTTTAACCAGACTCCCCCGTACCTATACCACATCCCATCACGGCATTACTTTCAAATCCACAAGACAGCAGCAGTGACAGTAACACCCTGAGCTCGTTAACGATCACAACCCTCTGAGCTACCCGAGCACAGCGAAGGAGAGACAGGAAAGTTTTACAAGATAAATGGGGAGGTAGCATTTCTGAGGCCTCCCTTTTAAAAGGGGTGGGGAGGAAGGGTGTGTACATAGGGAGTGGACATACTTACTGACTTCCACCTAGGTGCCCCATTAGGCCAATATTTTGCAAAACCAGGTGTGTGCAATTTGCTTATTAAAGTTCTCACCCTGGGGCAACTGACAAGACTCATCAGTCCTGGGAGATGTGTGCTATGACCCCAAGGCAAGTTAAAGCATATCCAGAATATTTTAAGCTAGAAAGAGAATCTTTCTGTTAAAGTGAAAGGGGATCATTCTGCTGAAACAACTAAGAGGAAAAGGAATTAAAAGTAGTTTGTTCCCAGTTTTGTGTAGAAATTGTACCATTATCTTCCAAAAACAAAGGCTCAAGGTTAGATTGAGGTTCCAGAAGGAACATGGGAAAGGTTTGTAATTGATGATTCTATAAATGGTGGCACTTCAAAAGGAAATATTCCAGCAGAGGATAAAAGCTCCAAGGTGGCCCACCTTGCCTACTTCCTCAAGAGGTCCAAGAGTCAACACTTTTGAACACCAGGATCTTAGAAATCTAGGTTAACTCTCTCTCATTATTAGCTAATACGGTGGGAAGAGTGACAGATGTGGAGTAGCCAATGGCAACAGACCACAGTGGCACTGCATATACGGAGCTATCTGATACTGAAGACGCCAAAAAAGAGCCCCAGTTATGTTTTCCAAACTGGCCAAGATGGGCAAATGGATGCAACTGAATTGGAAATGACAGTAGCTTTTTCTATGCTGTTATCAATAGCATTCATCTCAAATTAGACGTTAACAGACTGCTCTACCAGTGAAACATAGCTTCCTCCCTGCCAAACACTAACCCTATTCAGGGCAAAGTATTGTCAGTTCGTACATAAAAAGATAACCATGACAGAGCTCTGGTGGTAGATCTAAATCCACATTTGGCCGGGCGCGGTGGCTCACGCCTGTAATCCCAGCACTTTGGGAGGCCGAGGTGGGCGGATCACGAGGTCAGGAGATCGAGACCATCCTGGCTAACACGGTGAAACCCTGTCTCTACTAAAAATACAAAAAATTAGCCGGGCGCGGTGGCGGGCGCCTGTAGTCCCAGCTACTGGGGAGGCTGAGGCGGGAGAACGGCGTGAACCCGGGAGGCGGAGCTTGCAGTGAGCCGAGATCGCGCCACTGCACTCCAGCCTGAGCGACAGAGGGAGACTCCGTCTCAAAAAAAAAAAAAAAAAATCCACATTTACAGAACAGCTATCATGTACCTAGCACTGGGCTAGACAACCACGAATTCATGGCATGCTTTAGACTGCCAGGCACATTTATCTCCCACATTCATCTTCACAACAGCTTGTCTTTGGAAGTAGAAAGGGTTCCAAAATTACACTTGTGAGGGTCGTGTTACGAGAAAATTTATTATCAGTCTTTCTTTCTAAATGTACTACATAAACTATGTAACGATAACCCAAAAAGTCCTTTTTAATCACAGTTTCATCATTCTATTTGAAATCTAGAGATTCTAGTATGTTGCAACGCAATCATGACCCCTGTGAATTCAACAATAAACAGTTCATTTGTCTCATTAAAGTAAAGGAGAGAAAGGAAAGAAATAGATGTATATACAATGTGGGTTTAGCTTTCAAGATCCAGAGGGTGTTTGTGCTACTAAACAACTTCGTTACCTTGAGCAAGTCCCTTAAATATTCTTGGATTCGACTTCTCTGGCTATAAGATAACATTAAAAAAATAACCTCAAAGGTTCCTTCTAGTTTTATTGTAATAAGTAGGAAACCTGTCAGGAAGTATCTTGGAATACTGATGGTCAGGGAACCAAGGTTCCAGTTGGGCTCTGTATTATCCTGGGCAAATTATGACCTTTGTGAAACTGTTTTTATACTTCCATTTACGGAGGGAGAGGATTTAGTAGATGGCCTAGGAGGATGTAGGCAAGGAAAAGCCAGCTGTGGATAACATGTAAGAACAACATGTTAGAAGGTGGTGGTGAAACAGATGAATGACTCCTCAGCCTTATCAGGGTTAGACAATACCAACAATGCAGAAAGACAGCTCTTCATGATAGGTTATAAAACTTATGGTGAAAACCTTATCATTCGTTCAAACTGCTACTCAACAACTTAGTTACCCTGGATAAATCACCTGGACAAGCTATTCTGAATGAGATTCTCTGCCCTTGACTAAATATTCTCTTTTTTGTTTGAAAACATTTGGAAATAGGATGTCTTCATGAACACCAAGGGAGAAAGTGTTTTGGTAAAGAGTAAGGCTGTAATTTTAAGTCACATAATTGTAAGGGACAGCAAGTATAGGGAAGTGCCACCGCCTGTCATTTACCCTCTCCCGCCTATTGCAGACTTCTCTGCTTGATCTCCACACTCTTTTCCAACAAGCCTAGACAAGGCACAGAATCCTCAAAGTGAAGCTCCAGGCATTCTCCACCAATCAATCAAAATTGGCACGAGAAATAGAAGCTATCTGCCAACACTGTTGTAGTGGAATAAGCATGGATCACCAGGGCAGAAAACTGATATTCCATTTCAGGCTTCCTTAACTAACTTCCTACATTGTGGACTTTGGACACATCATTTCAGCCTTTCCAGAGCTGTAAAATGAAGGGGTTAAGTGGGATGATTTCCTAGGTCCATATAACCAGTTTCTTCACATTGACTGCGGATGACAGGAGCTCCTTCCTTTTCAGACCCTATCTCTTCTATTTTTTTTGTAGCTGACATTGTTGTATATTTGAGGATGTGGATTTCAAATGTGCTCACAGCCTATGTCTGGATCCTCAGGGTGGCATCCTGGCATTTTATTTTTAAAACCAGGATCTACTACATTGCCAACATGCAGTGGCTTGAATCCTGAGAGTTGGATACCCTTGAGTCATTATCAACTTTCGAAATAGGCAGCACATTCACACAGCTAACAGAAAGACACTTCAAACTTTAAAATAATTTTGGATCTACATAAACATACCCAAGTCATGAAAAGACAGAGAAAGTTTAAAGAGCGGTCCAGTGAGGTAACAATCCCAGCCACCTTCTTAACCACCCCACCCCTACTTTTCTTTTTTACTAAGTCAGTAGTGCTCAATGAGTCATTATGTGGCTACCACCTATCAGGCTAAGGCCAACAAACCCACTTCTTGGGTATGAGTTACCTCTTGATTATTATTTAATAAAATACAAACTGTTCTAGTTTGTTATTTTATTTAAAATAGGCATCACACATTTTTTTAAGGCTACCTTGAGCATACGTTACCTTTTCCTGGGGAAAACAAAAAGTCCCGTCTATCTAGATGAGGAAATATCCAAAGAGCAAATAATTATCAGAACATGACTCTCTCTGGCATCCTCCCCTTCTCTCCAAGTGGTTTATGTGATGACAGGGAATAGGGATAGAGGAACTGGAAACTCTTAAGAATCAGGTGGGCTCCAAAACATCAAGCAGTCCTCAACATCAGTCCCATGTGCAAGATAGCCACTTCAAGTTGTCCTTGTTCTAAAGTCTTGATGGTAGCATGAGCTCTGCACCATACGCCTAAAGGGTGACCTAATGCTGAGTTCTGCTGGGGCAGCTGGAACTGGACAGGATTGTTTGCCACGGTGATCTGAGTCACTTTTCAGCAACATCTCAGGGTTAACAAGATCACATGTTCAGCTGCTACTTAAAGTCTTGGAGGCACTTCAACCTCTTAACTTGGGTAAGCATTAGGAACCTAGTAGGTAGTGTCCAACTCCTCAAAATAACTTTAAAGAGACTATACTCCCTTTCTTGAACCTTCTAAGCATGGCAAGGACACAACCAAGAACCACAGGTTCTTGGGCCATGACTGCTGCTTTCTGTTACTAAAAAATTACTGTCAACCAGACAAGTTTTCTCAAATTATTTTCTTTTTCTACTCAATTGTTTCTTCTCTTCTACTTCTAAAACAACATTCTTTTCATTCCCATGAGGCTCTTAAAGTTAGAAGGAAAGTGAAGATTAAATTCTCTTAACAACATTTATTCTAGAGGCACTTCCTTTAATGTATATGGAGAGTTTAATGGTAGTAGTGATAGTTGTTTTAGGAGTAGACAACATGTAAAGAAAATAAATAAATTCCTTGCATTTTCTTGGGAAGCTGAAGTGTCTGACCTGCCAAATTTTGCAACAGGGCCATTTTCCTTTTTATTGAGATTAAAGCAGAAATCTCTCTAGAAAGGTTATGTTGAACACATACATTGCTTTGAAGCAGAATCTTAACCTCTCCAAGTTACTTCTTATCTTTTGAAGAAACATCTACTGAGCTGGCTCAGTCATTCACTAATAAGCATTGATGATCAACTACACATCAGGCATACTATTAGACCCTAGACCGTGTTGATCCTCTAGCCAACGTTACTCTAATTTACAACTAGGTCAGTTAGCAGTGGCCCAATATCAGAAGCAACAGCTTCAAACCAGGCCAGGCAGGAAGCCATATGGAACAAGTCCTCGGTCAACAAGTGCATCTCTTATTGTCAATAGAAAAAACAAACAAACAAACAAAAAAACCAAAAATGTACTTGGGTGAATTCACAGCAATTTCTTTGTATACAGAAATCAACATAATGTGTTTCCTTTGTTTCTGCCAAATATATTAATATGAAAAAATTGCATCCAATTTAACTGATGAATGACAGATATTCTGTTTCCACTGCCTCCATGGTGGGAGGAAGGGGACAGGGCAGAGGTGGATGGTGGTGGTTGCAGTATGTAGCCTGTCACCGAGATGACATTTCCCAAACCTAAATCACTCAGTATCCAGTAACCACAGTAGTGAGTAAATCACTCAGTATACAGTACCCTTAAGGTGCTCTGAAGGTACTAAATTCCTAGAGAAGAAAAGACGAAAGCCTATTCCATAGCTCAAATTATTAGCAGCCACAAATATCAAGTTCTGACAGCAACTCTTTTCCTTTTCCTACTTCCTGCATGTCAACTCTTCAAGCACAGTGGCTGCTTCTTCCTCCCTTCCTTAATGATACCAAGACCAGTGGCTCCCAAACCTGGCTTCTAAGAATAAACATTCTAGGCTCCTACCCTAGACCTAATGAATTCCTCTCCTGTGGTAGAACCTGAAAGTCTATTTTTAATAAATCCCTTTTTGTTTCTAAGTTCTCAGAATAATTCTGAAGATCAGCCTGGTTTAGGAATCACTGCTGCATACCACAAGTTTATGGTGATTTAGAAAGAAAACTTTTTAAAAGGGAGCTGTCCACCCTTCCCCCACCATATATACACACTTGTGGTTGCTTAAACATTTTTTTATGAGCAATGAAGACAGCATAACAGCTTCCTCTATTGCCACCCAAATATCCAGCAATTAGCAGACTAGACCTACAGATTCTTCACATTCTGAAGCTGTTAAAACAAACACTTGTGTGCCTGGTGTAGAGTTTGCTCACCAGCCCCCATGACTTGCGTAGGCTCCCCTGTCCATCTAAATGAACAAGCCAGGGCTGCTGATTCCAGGTAGAAGGATAAATAAGCCAAAGGAGCCTCAATCTTAGCTTTGAACCGCATCCAAACTTCAGAGGAAAAGATTTACTAATCCCCTGTTTACAATACAAAAATAATAACACAAAAACAAAATCACCTGCCATTAGCCAACTCTAATCTAATCTTTCCTTGCAGTAATAATTTTACTTAGGGTACTTCAACACTAACCTTGGCCTAGCATTCACTGAAAAATGAACTAATGACGCAGGCCTTATGTATACGGTATTCTGGGGAAAATGCAACTCCTTAGAATGAACTGGGATAAAATGTGAGGATTAAAATCAGAATTACCAAACAGGATCATGAGGAGAAAAGTCTTTTCATTTTCCATCCGCACACTATTCTGCCTTCACTGGGCCAGCATTAATATGGTCTCTGCTTTAGAAAGGCTTTGACTTTCCCGCTATTATCCTAGTCTTGCTTTAACACATACTTTATATTAGAATGCGTTCCAGGAAGCATATGGCATTAGAACTAGGTCAACCATTAACCAAATAACAGGAAACTGCTCTGCAGCGCACACCCTTCAAAAGCTTGCTTAATGAGCTGGCTCTTCAGAATATGTCCTTCAGTGAGGTTGGGACTAACAGGACCCATGGGTTTCTTTAATACTGCAAGGTCACCTAATACCTAGAAGGCTTCTGCACATAGTAGACTTTCAATGATCTAAATCATTCCATTGAAATGTTCAAGAACTAAAGTCAAAGGTGAAGAAGGATGTTTTCTGAATCTGCTTGACCATCTTCAAAGAACATGACTATCATCCTGGTTCCGTTGCTTCATCCTTCCAATTTTGTTAAATTGATAGGAAACACTACATACTCATCATTTTTTTCCATAACGTTTTTCCCTATATTCCTTGAGGCTTCCATACCACCAATTTACCCTACAAAATACATGCCACCATCCATTTAGACTTAATAGGTCAAAGAAAGTCTTGGAAAAAGACCTGTCTTCCTCTTTCACATAAAACCGCAAATGAGTTTCCTCCAGAACCAATGGCCTTGAATCACTGAATATTCGAGTTTGAATTTTTCTTATCCAATGTTTCAGACTCAATTCTATGAAATTTAACTCTATAATGCACTGAAGATCATTCAGGATCATACTAGTCAAATGTCATCCTCACATTAGTATCTTTCAAAAGCTACCGACAAACAAATTTTCCTTGGCTTCTTTAACCTAGACTGTTAGACATTCTTACTTCAAAATGTACATAATATGGATTGTAGAGATGGGTAGTTTTCTTTGATTGAGAACTTACATTAACTTTCATTTTTTAATTGAATGCTATAAATCTAGCGATGTTTCAGGCAGAAATGACTGCTCAGAAGCAACTAAGAGACTATTCTGTTTCAGATATGTAGGCACTTTTAAGGAACAGATATTTAGGAGCAATATGACATTTTTAAAAATGCTAGGTTTGGTTTACAGACTCCATACATTTTGACTGTGTACATCTGTTTTAGGCATTGCTCAAGGCACTAGTGAGCAAGGGAGACTCAGCCTGCCTTTCTGTAGCTTCTAGTCTAGTCCTGTTCAGGAACTCATTATGAAACAAATCAGTGGTTGGCCTTCAAAGTTGATCAGCTAAATTTTAACTGAATAAGATCTTTTTCCCTGAAACCAGTCAATAAGGCTGCCTGCACACCAACATGAAGAGTTGCACACTGGACTAGAGGTGATAGAAAAAAGGCTTGTAAGACATTAAAACTGTTAAGACATTTGGATTCTAGATAATCAAATAGCTTACATCTGTGCTATTCCTGGAAAATTTCAGGTTTACTATAGAGGAGTTAGTCGTGTAGCAATAGTCAAAACAAAAAACCAGAACTTCATCTAAGGAATTTAATATATAATCTATTATAGAATGTTCAAGATAGCACAAACAGAGGGTAAGGTACTTTGCTTCCCTTTTACCAGATTTTGGAGTCATGTTTCATAGGGGAGCACACTGGCTTTGAAAAGCCACCATATAATAAAAAATATTGCTCAGCCTCTTTAGCCAAGAAGGTATATGTTTGTCAATTTTACCAGTACAAGCTTCAAGGAGCCCTCAATTGGGATTTCATGTAAAACTCAGGTATATTCTGACTTCTAATCAGATAGTCACTGTTTAACAGTGCTCTACCTATAGAAAGTGTTTAATACAAACTCAAAGATGGGAGGAAAGAAAATTAGGATTTTTTGTGTGTCTACTATATGTCAAGCTCTGCACCAGAGATTTCTTTTCATGATTTCCTTTATTCCTCAAAAGAACTTTACAAAGTGGATTTTTTTTCCAGATAGGGAAATTGGGGACCAAAGATTAAATCATTCCCTCAAGGTCACCCAGTTACTCACTGACTCTGAGGTCTACGATCTTTCCACTATACACCATGGCCCTCACCACCAAGGTCCTCACAGGCCTACCAATACTGACAGAAAAGGGTCCCCCTTCGATGTGTCCTCTGCGCTAGAATCAAGTGCTCCTCCCTCATATGAGGGCACGCTGCTGCTCCCAACATAATAATCTCCAAGCCTAGTGTTTGAAAAGATGGTCTAGAGTTTCTCAGAGGGCCCAAACACTGATGATGGAGCAGGGTCAAGCCAGTTCCTAAGATACGAAGCAAGATGAACTCAGCAGGTCCTCCTGCCAACTGTCCTCGTCCTTACTCATCTGGCGAAGCATGCCAAGGCCTGCCTGGAATGACGCAGGAAAGGGTCACCATGGGTGATCCTATACCCCTCCAAATTGTTACAAAATAAAAGCTCAGTGCTGAGACAGGCTGGCTCCTTGAAAACCTGCCAATATTGTTTTGTAGGAATCAGAATTCTTAAAGAAACTATTTGTATCTATCAACCTCAGAGTTAAACCCACGAGGTACAGAGTAACGTACAGGTATAAAGGTCAAAGGTCTAGGAATGTGTGGACCCAATCCATCTTGGGAGTCCAGGTCCCCACACTGCCTACTAGACATTCCTTTTTAATTCACAAAGGAACCAAAATGTTTTACTTTTCCCTTATACTGAAGTTCTGACTACAAACACATTTAAATAGAGAAATATAGGTGAGTATCAGTTATAAAAGGCCCAACTTAAACCATTAATAAAAATATATCCCAACAACCACTCTTTCTATTCTAGCAGCTCCACAAAACTGACACCAGAAAGGCAGGATCACTGAAATTTAGAGCTACTTAACATAAACAAACACAAAGTCCACACTTGGGTTAGGAGATGTGGCTAATTTTAGATGAGTGTTTTACACGGGATGAAATGGAGCCTTGGACTTCTCACTGGTTTAATGCAGCCCTCGTACCTACATTTAGCCAACACCACTTCAAAGTTTTCTCAACTATGGAAAACAAGTGGTAAGGTAGCTGAAAGAAGGAATTCATTTCTGCACTGTTAAGTTCTCACAGGCAAACTGTTCAGTCTGTCCCAGCTCCTGGACTGCACAGGCCCAGACAGAATCATGAGCTGATGCAGAGAAGATTTCAGCATTCGGGAATATCTGAAGAGTCAGGCTTTGCAGTGCTTCCACTGATCAGCATCTGAGGCAAGTATTCATTCAAGAGAGGCTGTGAAAATCCTCCTGAGCGGGCGGCAGAAATTGAGAGGGCTCTTGGTGGTTACGAGCAACTCTGTTTGTCCCATTCCTAGGAAAGCTCTGGAATACTCCATGCCTTGAATGCATATAGAACACAGTCTCAGATATTAGAAACAATTCAACTATCATGTTCAACTGCTACAAGGATCCACGATTCCAAGAGTCAGTGAGTTGCTCTCTCTCCCTTTAACACAGCTGTGAAGTCCACTGAATATCCAGCCAAGTGTACTTGTGAATTTCTTCCCCTCTCATGCCAGTGAGAGGACCTGGTTTCAGCCTAGTGGTATGATGTACTTGCTCATCAGCTTTCAGGTTTAACAAGGGAAAACAATCTACCCCTCAAATTGTAGAAGCTTTCTTTCCAGGGGAACTAGACAATCCTGATGGCTCTCTCCAGTTACATAGCAATTATATAATTGCTAAGCTTCTGCAGAATCACTGGAACCATTCTGCAGGCTTCTACCAACTACAGCTGCAGCACAATGTTCCGAGATGATTGCAGGCTTTGAATGGATGGCCGGTCTCAAATCTGAGCACAAAGGGACATACAATGGGATTCCATCTCAAGCACAAAGATGCTCCTGCCTAATGAAGCCCTTTCTCCTCCTCCCAGTCTGTGCAGTAAACTCTTTCCTTTGCCCGCCCTACATGTGTGTGGAATGTGGTTTACTCTGTTTATGCTGACAGGTTCCAAAAGAGGCAGAAAAATCAGCTGAAGTTTTGCCATGGACCATGCACAAGGTAATCATTTAACACATAATGTGAAAGCTCCAGAAGAGGACAAGAGACAAGGTGGGGGGTGGGGGGGGGGGTGGAAAGCATCTCTCTAGGCTTCCTGCACTGGCATGAAATGACTGCTTCCCTTCCTTCTGCCAGCTCCAATCCTTCATGTTGACATTACACATCCTGTACTGTAGATCCACCCCCATGCTGCTGCTTGCCCAGCTGAATTATCTCCTGCGTCACAGCGGTGGTAACAGAACTGCTGGCTCGGCAGACCTGAAAGCACCATTTCAATGCTTAATGCATTCAGCAACTGGACACATTACCAGTGCGTCAGGGCTGGTTTGTGGCCCTCTCAGCAGCCATGCAATACTTGACCTAACCTTCTGCTAACCAGATGGTCTGTTTGCCTCTTGGGACCAAACCATTAAACTTTACTTTATTAAATTCTATCCAAATGTGGGGACAGTTTACAGCAGCATGTCTGGTTCATCTCCAACAGGGTTGCTAAGATGAAAATGACCTAAAAATAACTGGAAACTCTACTTCACACCAACAGAGAACAAGATATTTTGGAGTAAATATTTAAATCATCTGCCAGATTACGAACCACAGCAGCACTGACTATATGGTTAGCAGATTATATTGTAAATATATACACACAAAGACGTAGAAATGAATGCATCTAAACAGGAATCCACTACCCACAGCCTAAGCCACTCTTCACCATCCCCTGGCTCCAGGCTATTTGAATGTGGCTGAGGACACCTATCTCCATCATAATCACTCAATTACCAAAACAAAGAGCCTAACACAACTGTGATAGAGAGATCTCATATCCCCTGGGTTTGACCACCTAGGCATACTGTAGCCGTGCTTAGTACTCACTCAAAAGGAGGAGCTCAGTAAGTGTTCAATGAATGAATAGACGTATGGGCACATATTCCTTAAATAAACAGCTTCTATAAAACACATGAAGACACTAAATTATTTCCAACTCTATCATCCCACAACTGCTAACTAAGCATGCAAAACCAGGCATTGGATGAATGGCAAGAGCATGCCATCTGTACCAGAGGCATTGGGTGGCCCCTAATTGATCATTGCAAATGAACGGTAGAGATGGCCATTTATTGGGCCCCTGGCAGGGTGCTGAATGCTTTACATACATTATGCCTCTCAGGCTTCACCAGAAAGAGAATTCCACTTTAAAGATAAGAAACTGGAGCAGAGGAGCATTATGAGCTTGACCCAGGTTCACAAAGCTAGGAAGTGGCAGGCAGGGGAGTGAATTCAGGTCATACCCCACAGCCAATCACTTTCCCACTACTCTGTAGTCACAAATAAGCAAGGATCCTACATGTCACGAACTGAACACATGTGACAGTAGCATTCCCAAATACATCTCTTAAGGAAGTAAACAACTGGACAACCTTCCCACTCCCAGTCTTTTAGGGGTCCTAGGGAGTCTGGGGTTCAGCTCCTACTCTTTCATCCCATATTTCTTACTGTATTGAGGGCATTCTGTACTAATAACCACTGCCACAGCCACAGCTACATCTCTACTCCTTTAGTTTTGAGTTCTACCCTTTGAAGACCAAAAATCTCTCATTTAGGAGAATCCTAGAGATTTGAACACCAGTAAATAAACACAAGGTTTTTCTTTCCTCCTCAAATAGCTCTGGACAAAGTTAGAGTGGCAACTCTAAAGTTTATTTATAATTAAAAAATAGTAACATTCTGGCTGGACGCAGTGGCTTACACCTGCAAGCCCAACACTTTGGGAGGCCGAGGTGGGCAGATCACTTGAACTCCTGTTCAAGACCAGCGTGGCCAACATGCTGAAACCCCATCTCTACTAAAAATTAGCCAGGCATGGTGGTGCATGCCTGTAGTCCCAGCTACTCGGGAGGCTGAGGTGGAGGAATCACTTGAACCCAGGAGGCCGGGCTTACAGTGTGCTTGAGATCATGCCACTGCACTCCAGCCTGGGCAACAGCGCAAGATCTTATCTCAAAAATAGTAATAATAATGATAATAATAATAATAACAACAACATTCCAATGACATATTTATTTCTCTGGAAATTTCCCAAATGTAAAAAAAAAAAAAAAAAAAAAAAAAATCATGAGTAGTTTGCTTGTACAGGTGAAAAATCACTATATGGTTTTACCAAAGAACCACTTACATGTTCTTCATCTTTCCCACTAACATTCACACCACCACCACCACACCACCACCACCACCAATAAAGCTACCAATGAATGTCCTTTTGGCCAGACCCAATAAGGTAAGTCTGGTTAGGCCCTACCAACACCATTCCACGTTTTCTACATTTTAAAATATCATCTACCCTTAAAACACTCTAAAATTAGTCTCCTTACCCGTGAGGTCTCAAAGCATCTGATATTATAGTACATTAGTAAGACCAAGTAGATGTGGACTATTGAAATAAACATTTGCACAGAGAAAACCAAAGCATTTCTAAGCCAGGCTATGGGGCAGTCCTCAAACTGGCTAAGAGATATGTATGTGAGTAGAGCAACAGTGAGGCAGACAACATTTATATAAACAGCACAGCCAATATTTTCTCTGCAATAAGGACAATTTTCTTCGACATATCATTTTTGCCAGAATGATGCCAAACAATAGGAACAGTAATAACATCTTTCTTCTGAAAAGCTCAGAAAACTTCATGTTTATTAAAAATTGTTCCCCTACAACACTCCAGGGAATAGCTCTGCAAGGTCAGGTTGAAGGCGTTGTTACCATATAAATGTACTTTTTCCAAGAGGAAATGGCATCATTCTCGGGTAGTTTACAAGCTCCTACTGAATGCACACACAGCAATACAGAGTGCTGCTTCATCCACAGAACATCAGTTGAAGATGTAATAAAGTCTAGCTGGGAATGGACAACTGCAGCAAAGACTACTCATCAGTAAAGGGACACACAGCACAAAATTAAACAAGCAGGATTCCAAAAGCTGACTTTAAGACCAAGAACAAAATACCTAATATACTGACCATAGATAAATGGGGCAAAGCCCTGGAGAAGATCTCTGCCTCAGTTTCTCTATCAGTGAGGAAGGAAGAAACTATCACTTTCTTCCTTCCTGGCCATTATGAGCCAGGACTCTTAGACACATATTATTTTTTAATCCTTATGTTAGTTCTACAGATTCAAATTATAATAATTTCTATTTTACTGGGTAGGAAATCATGGGGACAGAAAGGATAAATGACTTACTCAAGGTCCCACAGCTAGTAATGGACAGAGACAAATTTCAGCCTCAGCTTGTGTGGCCCCAAAGAGTATATTCCACCTACTACACATCACTTTCTTAACAGAGACCCCTGCACAGAGAACTGCATTTTCACCCCAGAAATTCTAAGAGATGACTATTTGCACTCTTGATGTTTTAGAGAAAAATAAGTGCCTAGAGAGTATCTATCTATCTATCTTTCTCTATGTATAGAGATACATGTGTGTACATATACATACATATACATATATACACATATAAAGCAATATATACAGTAGCTGAGTTCCTAGTTGTTCTTAGTTGCTCTGAAGTTCAGCCATGGTGTGCAAGTTTCAAGTGCATTATTTTCCCATATAACTGCATGTCAGAAAGGGAAGCCTGCCAAATGACAATCTGGCCCAGTGATTCACAGTGTCACACTGACATACCCACACTGTATCACTTCTGATACAGGTTGTTGTTAGTATTTCCTGGAAATCATTGACTTCATTTGGGAGATAAACAGTAAACAACGTCCCTAGTAATGACACGTTCTTTTTTATACTAGAATACACTGGCAGCAAATTTCATAATTTGGAGGAAAGGAAGGGGTGATATAAAGTTAAAAGTTCTCGATTAACAGTTCCCTCAAATCTTAGTGATCATGTTGCTAAGGCATTATCTTAAACACAGATGACTCTCTTTTTCGTTTTAAGATTATGCCTTATAAAGTAAAAGATCTATTCAAATGAATCATATTCAATCGACTTAACAGGTTTCATGTGCTGAGGTAAATAACAATCCAGCCAATTTGGGATTTTTATCCTTCAAGATTCCTATTGCTGATTTATGAAAGCTTTGCAGTTATACTTGACCCCTAAAAACTTAAGAATTTCTTTTTCTGTAGACACCAACACAAGCTATACAATATGTGCATGGTCACAGACAAAATAATATTGCCACGACCTTTCTACTAAGATGGGGGAAAGATCATGGAAAGGGGGCAAGAGGGGAAGAAAGAACAGGCAGAAGCACATTGGAAACATCAGATATTTACCGTTGAGAAGCTGCTTCAAATAAGATTCCTAACACTTACCTATGCTGGGGTCAATTTTGATAATTGTAGTTGATGTCTAGAAATGGGGTTATGAATATAATTATCATGAAGCAGCAATTGGGCAATCACCACCTAATTAAGCCCACTGACTAGATTATCTTGTTTTCCCCTAATAATCACCTAACATTTAACACTTGTTAATTTCAGGACCTATGGGTGATGTTCATTCATTATTAACAAGCTACAGCCACTGGTCAGAAAAGAATGGGTGAGGTATTCTGAAACACTGAGTCAACCATGGGGCAGGGATGAATTTCACAAACAGCTGACATCTGTTCTTCAACACCACTTCAGTTCTCAGGCCTGCAAAATTGCTAATTGGAGGCAAAGCCACGGGAGAAGATGGAATGAATGACAAAAACTTCCACACAAGTGGAAGGATACAATTCCACCTCCTTAAATACGTGCTATTTTATGTGATCTATACAGTGTACTTTTTAAATTATCATAGAATCTGTCTTTGAAAATGTGGTTTTCTTTTCAAGAGAATGAATGATTCCTTTGCCAGGCCTGCATACATAAACTTTCTACGTTTACCTCCTTAGAACATATCCCAAGCTTCCTCTCCTATGGAGCCCCTCAAATTGAATGTGTTCGCAAATTCCCAGTTCTCACTGTATCCACAAAGATATGTTGACCCAGTTCACCTTGTTTCCTGCAAAGCAGTTCCTGAGGGTAGCCTGGGTAGGTTTCCTCAAAGAATTAAAAGGAAAACTGAAGAAACCCATTGAGAACTGGTCTTTGAGACAGGCTGCTCTCTGAGGGATTATCCTAGAATGCTAGGCCCTACTGCCTAGGGTCACAGTTTACGCTGTCCAAGGCTGAATGGAGTCCCTATTCCTCTAAATTAGAAATTCTGCCCAGAGAACAACACGCTTCAGTTCCATTTTACTCTCTTTAACTACACAGTTCAATTGTTCACTTTATATATTTTTTCTAAGCCTTTTTTCTATTTTAGTCCTTTATCTAAGAAAATAACGGTTTTTATAAATTTGGTAGATAATGATATGGATGAGAAGTAAAAATGGATGACTCTGTGGCCTTCTCTAGTACACTTTATAAACAGGACATGTGTTTATCCTTCTACGAAGGTTTTGATTATGGGTCTGTCTGGAGACCAGAGATCAACTGGATAGATCCATAGCAATGTTAGGATTTTATAAAACCACCACTAGTTTCTTGGGGGCTGAAGAGTCTATTCAGCAACTAATGTCCAACCACCATTTGCAGAAAAGCTACTCTCTCGGATACCGTAGGGATATCTGGATCTGCTCCATCTCCCTTAGCACAGTGTGTCACTCTATTAGGGACATTTGTGCTCATCCATGAACTTCCTTACTATCTTGTGATGTTTCAGAGACAGGCAAATAAAACCAAAGCACTCATCACATCTCCATGATCTAAATAGAGCACATGGTGATCACAAAAAGGGGTGGAGGGGGTATCGGCACCCACACTTTTAAGAGAATCTGCACCATGTTCCAAAAATGACCATTAAAGAATAGAACTAATTTTCAAACATCTGCGTAGCTTTTGAGAACATTTCTCAGGCTGATAGTAACCAGAGCCAATACAGGGCACTGAGGCTTCAAAAGGGGCCCTATGAAGAAAAAAAGTACAACACCTTTTCTACAAAAAAAAAAAGTCACCAGCATATCTTCCTGCCATAACAGGTAGGTGGCTCCTTTTTTTCTGAGTTTGATATAATTTTAAAATGTTTATTTCCTAAAGTGTCCCCTACATGGTGTCTTGCTTTTTTTCCCTATCATCTCCTCTACAATTCAGAAAAGGGCGCTCTTAAGTTAAACACACTTCCTCAAGCTATTGCAATAAGTTATATCTCTCATATCAAATAATATATTACAATTAATTTTCCATTATTCTCAGATTTCCTTCTAGAACTCCAAGGATATACTCCTGGCATAAGCAACTGGAAGAGATAAACCATCAAGAACATAAGCTATTAGCAGACTAAGTAATAACCAAGGCCGGGTCCCATCAGCTGAGAGCCAGGCCTCTGGAGGCAGTCCCCACTCCATGTGAATCCTGGCTCCCCCACTTTGCAGCCTCATGACTTTGGCTAAATTACTTTACCTCCCTAAACCTCAGTTTCCTCTACCGTATGAACAGTCCCTGGTTCATATTAAATGTTAAAAAAAAATAAAAACCGTTGTCCAGTATTAACTATGAGTCAGTCCACGAGGGAAGACAGCATTTTTTAAGGTCCTATGTGGTATTCCCACTCTATAGAGTTGGCAGATTTTTTTGATGAAGCAATCATATTTATTTTCTATTGTTCTTACCCAGTATTAGAACAGACAATATTCAATTGACAGCAGAAAGGGGGGAAGTTCTTGCAACTGAACTCCGATATTTAAATTAAAATGGTCTTTTCTGAGGCCGGGCATGGTGGCTCATGCCTGTAGTCGTAGCACTTTGGAAGGCCGAGGCAGGCAGATTGCCTGAGCTCAGGAGTTCGAGACCAGCCTGGACAACACAGTGAAACCCCGTCTCTACTAAAATACAAGAAATTAGCTGGGCATGGTGGCTTGTGCCTGTAGTCCCAGCTACTTGGGAGGCTGAGTCAGGAGAATTGCTTGAACCTGGGAGGCAGCAGTTGCTTAAGTGGAGATCGTGCCACTGCACTCCAGCCTGGGAGACAGAGCAAAACTGTCTCCAAAAAGAAAAGAAAAAAGAAAATGGTCTCTTCTACAAAGACTCCCTTCTCACTTATTGTTATCAAATACTAATTAGTCTTCAGAGAAGACTATTTAAGATAGAAACCACTGAAGAGAAAAGATTCTGGGTGATAAGTACTTGTAGCTGGTATCTATCTTTGGTCATCTTCAGCTATAACCCAGCATTCAAATTGTACCCCAAACGAAGGACCCTCCATCAGGCCCATGGCAATCTGGGTTGAATGATTGGTGCTCAATTGCTGACTAATTAGTCATAACACAGAGGGATGATGTAATTAGGGATTAGAATGGCTAAACATTCTGGACCACAGTGGCCTTATTTTGGATTTTAAAATGCTGGGACTGGAAGGACAGACCAGCCTGTGACGCTTGGCTCAAGTCAATGGCTGAAACCCAAACTGACGCCAGGTAGTAGTCATAGTCCATTCCTTTCCCCTCTGAAAAGGCATGTCTTTGTTCTTCATTTCTTCTAACACCCAGGGTGTAGGTAGAGAAGCTCTATGGATCACTTCAGAGAGGACTATCACATTTTCTGTCCATTAATAATGCAGCTGTTTTCTGCTGTGCTCTATTCTCTACTTCGTTCGTTTTCCAGGAAAATCTCCACCTAGGCCTACTTAACCAGTTCCCTTGAGTTTCCATCTGTCCTTTATCAGAAAGGCTGTAATTGTAACCCCAAAGTCACATAAATTGTCCTCCAAACCCAATTCTATTTTTTACAATAGGAACTGGCCAAAGAATGTGTACCTGAGCACTGGTCTTCATATTTCACATGTGTTAGGTACCAAATTACAAGGTCTTTTTCTACTTGCTATAATCGCTTTCTTAAAAGCAATGCCTTACTTCTTCCTGTAGGATCTTCCCCAGTGGACAGACTTCTTCAATTTGGCTAGTCAATTATTTTCCTGCTTCTCTTCTTTTCCTTCTCCCATCCAACCAGTCACTCCTTCCCAGCAAATTTCCACTATAAAATTACAGCAATGCTTTAGCCTACTTTCCTGTTAGCTTTAACAACCTTGTCTATTTTCTACTTGTGCTGATGCTACTGTTTGCTTTTCTGACAGGCTAATCCACGTATCCTTTCAAGGCCTAACTTCCCTACCATGATAGCAGCTGGAGCTCTAATTCACAGGTGCCTTCCAAAGCTTTTCATTAGCAATAGAAATGAGATGGTTTAGAAACTCATTTCTTAATCTGCAGGTAAGTATTGGAACCTTTGTGCAGCAAACATCTTTCAAGTATCCCACATTGTGCCACTGAACAATTATTTTTGGAGGAATAAGTACAATGTTAAGGCACATTTGCAGTGTTAACGGGGAGAATTTTCCCTTAGAGGACATCGGCTCCCACCCCCCAGCCTCTGGCATTTCCCAGTTCAAAAGAGAAACACTCAGCTGACATGAGCAAAACTGAAGAATAATGGCATTACCTTCTTAAATCTGAACAGGAAAAAGAAGAATTCCAAAATTTGGAGGCCTTAGCGTGTGTTCTGGTTCAACTGCTCAGACGAGAACTTAAGAGTGAGTTTGGCCTTCCCCAGCTGGGCTCTGTGGCGGCTAAGCTCTCTCCACAAATCCTGGGCTTTATTACTTCTGACACAGTTGTCTCACCTGGGCCTACAGCTCCTTTTGTGCTCCAACCAAGCTGAACCCAAAGGTAAGACTTCGCTTCCTCATCTTGGGCAAATGCTTAATTTCCTACTAAGTGATCCTAAAACATTCTAATCAGGATCTATTGGTTCCTAGTAGAATTTTCTCCATTTTTCCTGGTGTGGTCTTTGTTAAAATTTGTCTATGTGAAGGTCTAGCAAATAACTTCCTGAATTACACAGTTCTCATCTTCAAGTATTTATTTTTTGAACAAATAAGTACCTGTCAAACTTCCTTTCACCCTAAAGAACAGGGTCTACTCTTTGAATAAGGTTGGGGGTAAGATGTGGACAGGCGCAGCACAAGTATTTTATTAATATCCAGAAGCAACATGCAGTGAACTGAACAAGCAAACACATGAAAGCAAGGAAATCAATACCAAAATACCCATGACCTGGCACACAAAAAAAACCTTCCCTCCAAGAATAACTCAAGAAAAAATGTCTCCAGCTAGGAATTAGGCAAGAATGCTTTGAAGACACCAAGTAATGTGCTCACCAGAAGTAAAAGGCAATGCATTTGTAGGTGACAATACTAGCACCTCCTCACACCACACCACTCTATCCTTTGTCCTTCTAAGCCGTGAAAATAATTAACTTTGTGTTGGAATCACACATCCAAACACTTTAAAAATCCTGTACGTGCTTCAGCTGATGAGAATAGGAGGACTTAGAAAAAAGATAAATTTTATGATAGCATTTCCAAGCACAAAATGTAAATCCAAATTGCTTCCAATGGATTTCCCTTTTATCAGTGTGTGCAGTTCTCCAAATGCAAAGTTCAAGGGGAAAAAAAAAATCCAAAAGAGCTTCCTAGCATACTGCAAATACAATCTAAATTCATAAAAACCCATTTTCCCACATTTGGAAACTTCTCCTGGGTCTTATAAATCCAAGAGACAGTTCAACTTACAATTATCTTCTCTCCAATGCCCTCCCAACCCAAACTTTTTTTTCTTCCTTTAGTACTGGCATGCAAACCATGCTGTTTTAACTTCTTTCCTGTTCTCCCAGTTCTTCTGGAACATTTTATTTTCGACAGTCAACTCATTTGGAGGAGTGCCACACTGAGGTTCAACTGTTTACAGCGTTAACTGTGTTTCTGCCAGAAGTCCACATCCAGCACTACCTTCTCCAGACTGCCTCCTGGATTAAAAATTGATGCATTCGTTTGGAAGGAGCTTAGAAAATGTGGAAACTTCCAAACATCACTCTTCTTCTTTACAAAATCACTTTTGCTCATCCAAGAAGAGACAGAAGTGGAAACCCATTGCACCCTTCCTTACAGGACTGTCCCATTGCTCATGGTTAAATGTCTGTGTTGTTAAAAGTCATCTTAAGGATGATTTCATGTATACTGGGAAAATGGGAAAAGGTTAGCCATTAGTCTGCAAGAGAGTTGGGCTCCAAGAAGATACACGGAGGGCACATTTTGAATGAGTAAGAACATTGGAAAACCACCAGTAATTGTTTCAGACTGGATTTCACCCTCTCAGCCATTCATCAGTATTACAAAATGGCATCTCTGAAAGGAGCCAATTTAAATCTGCACCACGTTGCAAAATAGATCCTCAGAGTCCAATTGTGGGCACTATTGTAAGTTGCAATAGACTCACACAAACTTCCAAAGAAGGGCATTTGAGAAGGGCTCCCAAGCCCTTGGATGATGGAATGAGAGATGAGAGCAGGAAAGATGAAAAGAAAAGTACAGCTACAAACCCGGGAGCTAACACTTTACTGAATGTCACATGAACAAAATTGGGCTCTGGATCTATGAATGAAACCACGCTCAACCCTGGGCTCCCCAACGTGTTAAATCCAACTAAGAAAAATCCATACTCCTGCCCACTAGTGTATGAGTACAGAGTTTCTCAGAAAGCTGTGGGCCCTGGAGAAGAGAGCAGCTATTTCACAACCCTCAACAATCAAATGCAATGGGGTAGTGGAAAGGGCACTAGGCTGGAGTCGGCCGACCTGAGTTCTAGGCCTGGCTCGGTTACAACTGAACTTTCTGACCTTGTGCAAGTCACTTCATGTCTTTGTGCCAGTTTCCTCTTCAGTATAATGCAAGTGGAAGGAGGAGACTTCATCTAAATGATCTAGGGCCTAAAACAACTAGCTTCTAAGTTGGAAGTTCTGCCTGGTGAATATTAAATAACTAATAGTCCTTACTTACAGTGTACATATTTGTCACTTTTAAAATAATTTTGGTAATTTCTGCATGAGAAATAATATTTTTGCTCCTCACCCCGAAACTTCAGTTTTCACTCCCTACTCCCTAGAGTTCTTCCACATAACACTAAGTGCCTCTTTTCCTTTCTTTCTTATTTTTGTAAGCAACCTTCCCCAAACTAAGACTTGTGCTATTAAAAGAGCTTAGAACTTCCCATTTCCTTGCAAGGGCTAAAATTAAACTGTCCATTCCTTAGGGCCCAACATAACATCTGCCAGATGTCTTGGCATATCACACAAGGAGAGGAATTTTCTTCTAGCATTATCTACTCTCCTCTCTGTTTTCTCATAATCAATTAATAGGTCACCAACACCTAGCTAATGTTTCTCTCAAAGCCATCATACTCCATAAGTATGTGAAACTCACAAGATACTTGCTTTTACACACACTGATTTTTTTTTTTTTTCAGTTCACTGGATTTTAGCTTTCAGTCATGGAAATAGTCTCCCTCCACTTCTGCTGAATATACCAATCATCCCAGTCATACATTCATGTTAGATCCTTAGCAGTAAGAGTCCATTATGTATCTCCTATTTGTGACTGCGGCATTATGAAACAGCATCTCTGTTCTCCAATTATCAATTTAGAATATCTGATACAGTTTTGTCAATTTCATGATGCAGTGAAGTGTAAGTCTGAAAAAGGCACATACCATAAAGAAGATAAGTAAGGTTACCTTAACCAAGTAATTGCAACATCAAGGAATAATTTAAGACAGACTAGACCCTATTAAACTCCATCACACAGAAAAAAGGACTCTTTCCCATTGCAACTTTACCATTCCTTTCTTTCAGGAAAACCGACCACAAGTACTCTAAAGTCCATTAGTAGAGTTGGATTTTTTTTCTTCTGCTGTCTTCCGGAAGATTCATTAGGAAGAGCAGATAAGTTTGTTTTTTTTTTTTTCTCTAAAAGTTGTCTCCAACTCCAAAGAGTAAGGGGGAAAAAACAATTCCTCGGGGAATATGGTCAATGAATTAGACTGACATAAATCCAATATGAGAAATATTATGCAATGTGAGGATCCAACAAGAATTTTTTTATGGCAGGATGCATCATAGCTCGCAAATATTTCTCCATGATTTCTCCCTGTGATATATTAGAGCCATGGCAAAAAATTTGCATAATAAGCCACATGAACTTGTCTCATAAACAAAAATGATCTTTGAGCTTTGACATTAAATGAAAATGTCTGATTTAATACTTTTTATTTCTCTCATGGTGGTTTATTCAAAATACTTGTCTTAATTCAAATGGGTATGTCTAGAAAAATTCAAAAAACCATGTCCTTAAATATTATGGTGTTTGCCATGCTGGTGAAGGGCATCAGAGATGGATGTGTCTTAGATAACCAGTTAGAATGCATTTCCAAATTCCAAGATGCCTCTTAAATACCTATTTTTTCCCTTCCAGAAAAGTTCAACTCTAAGACGCCAACACATTTGGTTGCAAAGTAAAAAATGTGGAGAGTCAAACAGCTGGACTGACAACCAGATTGTCAGATGTTTCCCCCCTGCTGAAATGAGCAAATGAACCAATTGTCCTGCTATCAATAACAATAAAAAAAGATATCATGAAAGTTTGTTTCAAGATCAATATATAATGTACTTATGTTTACATAAACATACATGGTTAATTAGATGTAAAATTATCTGGTAATTACTTTTCCAAATAACTCTTTATCCATTGCAACTGAACTTCCCAGTTTGGACACCCAGTTTGGTGCATCCATTTATGCATTAGCAAATTTAAATATAATATTGGCGAAATTTCACTTAAGAGCAAAAGTAATGGTATCAAAAGATAATGTTCAAAAATGAATAATAAAAGTTATGATTCCAAGTAGGATTTTTTTTAAGTGCTCTTGGAGAGGCCTAGGTTTTTCATAAAGGAGCAGAGATCTAACAGAAGTATTTTTAAATAAGCATACACGTCAACTGAAACCATACATTTTTGTCTGCACAAACATGGTTTTACTTCATTGACCATGGACAATTATCAGCTAAAGAACCATGTATTTCCCCTCTCCTTTCACACCCCTCAGAAGAACAATAACCCTCAATTAATGACACAACAGTTTGGTTTGAAAAATGTGATGTTGTCATATACAGCACTGTGCATTTACTGAGTGACAGTGCTACCAGCTACTCAACAGAATATAATTACATCTGGAATCTAAAACCACTTCAATATGTACAAAAATATTTTAGACATAAGGAACTTTACACAAAAAAATCTGACACATAATGAGAAAGCAAAGCAAGAAAAATGCTGTTGTAAGTTGCTCACCAATGTGTTCCTTATTTCTGTTGAAGCTGGTACCTTTCTATATTTCTTCTTAGTTGAAAGCAAGGTCCAATTAGCCTCCTTAGAATATATTAACTGGTTCTGAATCTCCTCCAAGTTTTCATTCCACCGTGGAGCCCTCCTCACCTATCTTCAACAGTTCATCTAAAATTCTTCCAACATCTTCCCTCATCCTCAAGATGGCTACCTCACCTAATGGAAAAGCAACATCTTCATGGTTGGCTTTTAAAAATTCCTGAAGCATTTCGGGATTTAGTTCTTTGCTTGGGTCAATTATGTACATTCTCTAAAACTAATATGTGAAGAGCTCCCATCAATGTGTGTGGACTAGGGTAGCACTGGGTCCTTTTTTCAAATTATCCTCACAAAATGTCTTCCTACATGATTAATAAATTCCTCCCAATTAAAAAGGTGAAGATACCTGGACATAAGGTTTTCTCAACTGACATCATGTTTTTAAAATTTGTTTCCATAGCGACATTGTTAAGAAGACATACTGATATTTCTGAAGACTTAAGAGTACTTCAGAACACAGAAAAAATTAGCCGACGGAAAGGGAAAGGGGAAACAAAGAAACTGAAAGAAGGCCTAACATACAAATGGAACGACCTGAAGAGAAATGGAGAACCTGGAGAAACTGGTGTTAGCCAGTCTTAGAGTTCCTCTGAGATCTTGCAGGATTATTCTTATTATTTTTTATATTTGCAGAAATCAACTCAAATCAGACAATAAAGTCTTGCAATGCATCAAAACATGATGATAACCAAACCCTAGAACTCAAAAAAATCTCAGCTTAGGGCCATCACCATCTTCACAAGGAGGAAATCACATTTCCTGGTGACTTTCAGGAGACCTGGAGCAGCTTAAAGTTGTGTGAAGACCTCAGTGGAACTGTTTTAAGGTTTTTGCCTTGCCTTTCCTGAAGGAGGTCAAAACCCTTCAGGTCCACTCAAAAGGAGAAAAAAAATTCCAAAAGTTTACTTTAAAATGGAAACAAACGCCTCAATAACTTGTGAAAGCACTCTTTGGTGGAGAAAAATCTGAGGAACCCTTAAAAGCCCTCATTTCCTTGCATAATGAATAGACAGTGAGGAACCACCACAAGGTTTCCCTCTGGAAAGAGAGAAGGAGTAGGCAAGCAAGCCTCCTCCTCCTCCAGCCATCACCAACAGAGCTTCAAAATGGAGACATCCATAATTTTATAAACACTTCTCATCTCAGCTTTGTCTCCTGGAAACCCGCTCTCCTCCATTTTCTGGTGGAGTTACAACATGACACGGCTTACCTGACTCAGTTCCCAGCTCTTAACCAAACTAGTCACTTCCTCCAAAAACCTGCAAGCAACCTCCAGAAACAAAACCAAAGCAAACCAAACAGCCAACACAGACACTCAGACACAGCCCCCGGGAGCCCTGGGAGAAAGCCCCAACTGGTTGGTCTTTCCCCATCCCAGACGCGTGCTTAAAAATGAAACTTTTTTTTTTCTTGGTTGGGGAGGAATATAAAAGGAACTCCAGGCAGCCTCCCTCCCTCCCTCTCTGTAGGTTAGAAGCCACAATGAAAAGAAAACGAGGGTTCCTTCAGGAATGGTGAACAGCCTGGAGAATGAACGTGAGAAGGAGCTTTGTGTTTTGGAGTCTGGACTGGAACCAAAGCAGACAGCTTGCAAATGGAGGACAGGGAGATAAAGAAAGGGAAAGAGGGGCTGCTCCAATGGGGGGCGGCTGCGGCTTCCCCTCGTGCCTGGAAGGAGGGCAGACCCCTGGGAACTGCACCAGGAGTGAGACGCCCCCCCAGGCCCCTGCCTTCCTTTCTCCCTTCCTCAGAGGAGAGCCAAGCGTGTGTAATGGCTTCTCCTCTCCAGAAACCGTTGTCCTCCTCCACCAGACGCTTCTGAACCTCCAGCCTGGAGACAGCTCCTCAGCCGCTCCTGAACCTGCGCCCCCCACCCGGCCGGTGCCCCCCGCTCCTCGCCTCTCTGTTCACCAGCAGCACCGGCACCAGCAGCTGCAGCAGCCACCCCCCGACACATCCCGACCCCGCATCCCAACTTCGGGGAGAGGGAGAGAGAGAGAGAGAGAGAGAGAGAGAGAGAGAGAGAGAGAGAGAGAGAGAGAGAGAGAGAGAGAGAGAGCCAAATACCTGAGGAAGAGGGGGGCTGCCAATCCGCACGGCTTTGCCATCGGGCGGGGGACAGGCAGACAGAAGGGGGAAAGGAAGGAGAGGGACAGAGAAAGAAAGAGGTCAACCCGCTCAGGTCGGGGCCGCTCGCACGGAGCTCTCCCTCCTCTGACCCTCGCTCGCTCCCTCTGGCTCTCGGCTCAGGTCTCCGGCCTCCCGCCCTCCGCCCCCCTCTGTCCCTACTCCTGTCCCCACACTCGGAGCATCCGTCCTAAGCCTCCAGCTCTCTTCTCACTCATCTTTCATTTTCTCTTCTCTTCATAGAACTACACGAAATTAATTAAGCCACCGCGCTCACTCCCCCCAGCAGGAGCAGCAGCCAGCAGGAAAAGCACAGCCACCTCCACTGCCACCACTACCACCTTCTCCTCCTCTTCCTCCTCCTCCTCTTCCTCCCTCGCTTCTCCTCCTCCTCTTCCTCCTCCCCCTCCTGCTCTCCCTCCTCCCCCTCCTCCTCTTCTCTCTCGCTTCTTCTCCTCTTCCAACAGCCAGTCCATGCAGGGGACTTCCTCTCCTCCCCGCTCCTCCAACCCTCCTTGGCCGAATGAATGAGCGCGTTTGTGCCTCCACCACCCCGCGCTCTCTTCCCCGGAGCACTCGGACCACCCCGAGGTGGTTGTTAATTGCAGTAACTTACAGAAGAAGCGTCCCGGCGCCGGGAGGTGCTTCGGGTTCTCCAGCCCCACCGCCTCCTTATCCTCTTTCTCTTTCTCCTCTTCCTGCTCGGGTTATTGTTGTGGAAGTTGTTTGGGAGTCTCATGTGCTTCTGCCGGGTCTCAGCAATGGAGGATCGCCATCTTCCCTGCCTTCCTCGGCTCCTCAGACTCGCTGCAGCTGCAGATGACCTGAGATATCCGTCTCTCTCCCTCTCTCTCTCTCTCCCTCCCTCCCTCTCCCTCTCACTCTCTCTCTCCCCTCTCTCTCCTCTTCTCTCTCCTCTCCTCCCTCTCCCTCGCGCGCTCTCTCTCTCTCCCTCCCTCTGTGTCTCTCTCTGAATAATGAGCAACCAGGGGGAGAGAGAAAGCAAGACAGAAAGAGAGAAGGAAGACAATCTTCTCCTGCCACACAAAACGCCGGAGCACCAGGGGGTGCGCGAAGCCTTTCTAATAACAACAACAACGTGCAGCAGAGAGGAAGGAAAAAAAGAAAGAAAGAAAGAAATGAGGAAAAAGGCTAGGGGAAAAAAGAGGAAGAATTATCCAAGAGCTCGAGAAGAGCAGAAGGAGAAGCTGGAGGAGATGCTGAGGCTGCTGCTGCTGTTCCCCCTCCCCCCTGCTGAACCCCAGAAGGAGGCAAGGTGGTTGCAAAGTTAAGGCTGGGACATTGTCTTTGTCACTCAGAGCCAGGCCAGTGAGATGCAAGAGGAGGAGGTGGCGGCGGCAGAGGAGGAGGAGGTGGTGGTGGAGGAGGGGGAGGAAGAGGAGGAGAAGGAGGCAAAGGAGAAGGAGGCAAAGGAGAAGGAGAAGGGGAAGAGGGAGATGAGATGATGAATAAAGACCTGCGGAGAAGGCGGTGCGAGGAGCGCGGCCGCCGGGCCGAGGCGTGCGCGCTCGCGTCCCGGTGGCGCCCGGCAGCCCTGGCCCGCAGAGGAAGCCCCCGGTGAGGACCCTGCCCGGCAGCTCATAGCGCTCCCAACGTCAGCCCTGCCCGAGGCGCCGAGCCCGAGCCCCAGAGGGTCCCTTACTTGCATCCATCTAGAGGCCAACCTTTGCAAAGAACATACGTGGGGAACTGGAGGTTGCAAGTATAAACCCAGATCAACCACGTGGGGCTTTTTAATCCCTTTCCAGCTTGCGGTGTGAGTATTTCCAGTGAAAAGCTCAAATTGTCCATTACTGGCACGTATTTTGAAGTCTTCTCTCCTGAAATAAAGGCTCATTGTGCGTTTTATTTCTTTCCTGATATGGAAGGTGGGGGGGTGGAGGAGGAAAAGAGCCCATCATTCCGAGCTTCGGAACCACCACTTTCTTTTCCTAACTTGTGAAATGTTTTGACTGCGCACCAAAAGAAAAAAAGAACGCCTGCTTAAATAACTTTACACCCTCCAGCCCCGCGTTGTTTGCACTTTCTGGCTGATCATCTAAAGGCTCGGAAAGTAACAATCAGCGCTCTTAATGATAAGGTGTCATGGTGTTGAAGACACGCGAGCCAAGATGAAGCTTTCACACCTTGAATTTTTATTTAGTGTAATCTCTCCCGTATCATTCTGAACTATCTCTTTTGCAAAGGAGTGGTTCCCCCCCTCCACCACCAGGTCGAAAGTCTCCTACGGTTTTAATTGGACTGGGAGCGGTGGGGGTTGGGGATGGGGGTTCTACAGTATCAAAAAAATCAATGCAGCAAGTCAGGAGCAATTGAAGTTCAAGGGCATGGGCTGATTGTACCATTTCTATTTCTTGGATCTTGGAGTTGGACATCAACAGCCTCAGGAGAGAGAAACGCGCAGCGCGCGGGGCAGAAAGAGACCTTAATTAAAGTTTCTTTTGTCCGCGTCTGAATTGGGGATGTTGCTGGATTCCTTTGCATTGAGGAGCGCGCATCCGGTGAAGGCGCGGTGTTAAGGATCCTGGGCAAGTCTGTCCTCTTTAAATACTCGCCCTTTCTCCTCCCTCCCCCCAAGCAACAGTCCGAGAAGATATATACCTATAAATCCATACAATAAAGGAAGAGGAGGAGACGCGCGCGGAGTTGGTTCCCATCCGATAGCGGGGCTTCATAAACAGATCTAAATCCTCATTTTCCAAGATTTTCCCGACCCTATATTCCTGAGCAGAATCTCTCACCCCGAGGCACGATTTCACCCACTTCCAGTCAACACTTCCTGCCCTTTTCTCCTCCCACTCACATTGAAAAGCTCGGGATCCCTAAAAGGGTGTTGATGGCGGGGGTGATAAATAAATAAATAAATGACACTCTACGCGTGCGGTGGAGAAGAAAGGAGGGGGAGGGAGAGGAAAGGCGAGGAGAGGGAAGAGAAGTAAGGAGACGAGAACAAGGCGCAGAAAGGACAGAGGCGAAAGGGGAACGGGAGTCACCGAGAAGAGAAAGAAGAAAGGAGAGAGGAGGAGGACGCTGAGGCTGTTCCGGATTGAAATGATCCCGGCTTTGTGCGGCTTTGGGAGGACTCCCCCTTCCGAGTGCCCGGAGGGACCTAGGGAAGTCCTCCTGCCCCGAGCTCCTCCCCACCGGGACCCGGGGGGTGTCTGAGCGCTGGCCGCCGCCACCCCATAAATTCCTCGTGGCAACCGGAGGAAGCGCGCCAGGTCTCCGCCGTCCCTCCACTGTCCCGGCTGATAATTTACCTCTTTGTCTTTAATAAAAAGCTGACTTTTTCTGTCAAGCTCTGCACCGGGAAAATAACAATCGTATTTCAGGTTGAAAGCTCCTATTACTGCTGGGTTTTGGAGGCTGCGATAAAATCTTCATCGACGTGAAGGTACCTTCTGGGTTGGCTTGGGTCGTAAGTCCTAAGATGGGGGCCGTCCTTCCCTGGGGGCAGGGACGTAGGGAACCAGGCGGTGGGGAGGGAGAAAGGAGCGACGAGGTCAGAGGAAACCTTGGGTTTCCAAGGCTCCTGGGGCACCAAAGGGCTTCCCGCAGTCGGGGAATTGAGCCCTGGGGAGGAGCCTTTTGCGAGAACGTGAGCGCGCCCCAACACGCCTCAGACCTCGTAAACCCACTTGGCAAAGACCGGGGAAGCGGCTGGCGGACCGACTGCGGTGAACTCAAGAAATTAACCTGCGCTGCAATTAAACGGGCTGCCGCCCTTTCACACTCACCTCGAGCGACCGAGATAGAGAAAGCTCCCGAACCGGCCGCGGGGGGACTTGGCTCCACCCTCCCGTCCCGGGAGAAGAGGACAAAAAGGGGAGATGGACTTGGAATGGCCCCGCCCTTCACAGCGCTCCAATCCTTGGAAACCAAACCTCCTCTCCAAGCCTCCACGTCTAGAAGGGACAAAGGCAGCGAGGAGATCCAGAGACCGACGGGGAGATGGTGGCTTTCAGGCTTCTGGTGTGGGTGCATGGGGGAAAGGTACAATGGTTAACTTTCCATCAAAAATACGGCACCACACGATGGTCTTGAGAAGACACACTCGGTCTTCTGGTTTAGAAGCAAATTGACTTCCTGAAGCTGTGAAGCGAACTATCGCAAAACTCTCTTGCTTCTTGAATGTGGGGGCGATACAAATTCAATTAATGATGCCATACACGTAATCTTTTCGACTTTTTAGAAGTCACAAACGCTTTAACTCTCCAGTGAAAATAATTGAAAGAGGTTAAACATAAGGGGAATGGGCTTTTTTTTTTTCTTGTTTTTATTTGGGACAATTTTTCAAATGATAAAACTGTATAAATACAAGCTGGGTCAGTCAAGGAAAGCGCTGTGGCTGAAGATTTTCGTAAAAACCTTAGTAAACGTGGCATTTAAGTAACTAATTATGCTTTGCCATTAGCAGACCATTAAGATAAACAGGAGAAAGTTCACACTCCTGCTATTTCGTTCCCTAAGAATAGTCACAAAGATAATACCAGGCTAGTTGGTGGGTTATCTTCTCCATTAGGAGGGTTAATGTTTAAATTTGTTAATTAAAATACAAAAAATTTGGTTTCCTACACAGCCAACGTTGTGAGGGAAGTCTCACGGGGACATCCTGACTCCTTGAAATTTACCTTTTGTTACTTTATCCTGTGGCATTATCCCCTGGAGTCATATAGGGTTTCAAGACTGTTAATGTTGCAGGGAATGTGAGTGAATATGTTAGAAGTCTGGACTTTCTTCTCCCTTATCATAGGTGACTGGCATACACACTCCTCATAAAGAGAAGTTATGGCTCATCAAAAGAGTGACTTTATGAGCATTAATAGAATAATAAATCTTGCACTTTTAGTTCAAGAAACAGTGAAGTCCTATAATCAGAGTGACCCACGCAAATATGATCCATTCACTTGCCCAACTCTAACAGGATACGGATAGTCTATAAATCATTTTAGTTTTTAAAACCTTAAAAAAGGAAGGCACCCAAATCTCCCAAAGGAAGGTGTTTATGGGGGGAAAGGGACTTCTAGCAAACCTGCAGGAAGAGATCATGGAAAAACGAACAGTCGGTCCAGAAGCTGAATTAGATAGACTTTCCACCGAAACAAGAATGGATAGATGTTCCAATGTCATTGTTTCAGTATTTATGTTCTATCATTTAAAAAGAGAAAAGTCTTCCTGCTTCCTGAAAGCTATACAAAAAAAAAAAAAAATCCAGTTGATAGCCCCGTTTTCTAAATTCCAGCTGGAAAACTATTCAAGTTGATGATTTTAGCAAAAGAAAGAGTAGGTGAATACAATATGGCTTTTTAACCACATTTTACACATCTCTTTGTGGTATTTCCCTGCCTATGTGAAACTTCCTTTCTATGCAATGCAATGTAGTCTTTTTACTAGTTGAGTTTGCTTGTGATTTTTCAATGAGTTATCTATTTTGAATTCTTGTGATCTTTACTCGTTGGAAATTACTCAGTCTTCAAAAAGTTTTTCTTAAAACTTCAAATTGGATAATTATGGACCCTCCAAATATCAAAAAAGTGAAGTCACTAGCACACCTTCTTTCTAATTTCTTACAGAAAAATCAATATATTGTCATAAACCCATATTTAAACATATATAACTAGGTAACTAGTGTCCATGCCTAGGGAAAAGTGACTAACAGAAGACAAAGGTGGATGATTCATGATTCTGAACAGCTTTCAAAGGAAGAGACATTGCAATAACTTATATTAAACTTACTCCATATGAATCTTTGTATATATGCCTTTGGATACCAAAGATGTTTCGATAGTGATATTCTAAAATTCAAAAGAAAGTCTTTCTTCCATAGGTAGTAGTTAAATTTACAGTTCTATCAAACTAGTTATTGTAATATGTAATGTGTAATTTCATTCAATCATTGAGTATTTGTTTAGCATCTGTATTACGCCATTCTCAGAACTGAGTACTAGGGATACGAAGATGAATAACTGAAATGAGTCAAATTTTTGATGCATGATCAACCACTAGCTTCAATATAACATTACTTGGATATAAAACTTCAGATTTTTTACTCAAAAGCAATACCAGGATTTGGCCTATGATGAAACTATAATTAATTTGAATATTTCTGTTCTCACAATGAAGCTATTAAGGAGTAATATTTTGTCAAAATAAAATTTTTGGAGTTCGTTGTAAAGCCAATGTGTTGGCTTAACTCATAATTTAACATGAAATTCTCCCTCAAAGAGATATTTAATTTTATTTTATTTTAGATGGAGTCTTGCTCTGTCGCCCCAGCTGGAGTGCAGTGGTGCTATCTTGGCTGACTGTAACCTCTACCTCCCGGGTTCAAGGATTCTCCTGCCTCAGCCTCCCAAGTAGCTGGGACTACAGACATGCACCACCACACCCAGCTAATTTTTGTATTTTTAGTAGAGACAGGGTTTCACTATGTTGGCCAGGCTAGTCCCAAACTCCCAACCTCAAGTGATCCGCCCACGTCAGCCTCCCAAAGTGCTAGGATTACAGGCCTGAGGCACCTCGCCTAGCCAATCTTTTTAAAAGTGCAAAATAACAACCTTAGATCAACTAGGGTTAGATTAACCAAATTCTGAAGACAAGACTCAAGTCAAAGATTGCCCATTTGTTGAAGCATCACTTCCAGCAGAAAGACCAGCATTTCCAGGTTCTTACTATTTGTTCTCTATCTGAAGCTTAGGGAAAGGAAGTGATTTATTCAGGAACACAGAGCTGGTAAGGAGCAGTCAGCCCTAGAGTCTACACTTCAATGGTAGTTTCTCCAAAGTTATCATTCTCATATCATATTCAAGATTTCTTCTTATTCTTTTTCTTTTTTTGGGGGGGATATATTTTCATGTAACTTGGTCCTGTTATTTAATTAATATACATTTTTAAAGTCAACTTTAAAAAATTTTTAACTTCATCATAAGCAATAATATTCACAAATCACAGGTCTGATGGGCTATTTATACATTTTCAATGCATATCAAAATACATATACTGTTATCAAAATTGAAAGAAAGATTTTTGGAGTAA